>NW_011332700.1:0-148762 GCF_000001405.40 Homo sapiens | reverse complement strand
GCAGATTCAGTACAAAAGTTACACCAGAGAGATCTCCTTTCCTGTGATGATCCTCTGAGAATTCAATTCACAGGGGGAAAAAAAACAAAGTAGCTTTCCAAAAGACAGGTTATTCTCTAATTAGGAAGAACTGTCTGAACTCTGCCTATAGTAATTTATCAATGGAAAGTCTAAATAACACAAGACACACTGTAATTGCCTCAGATCGACTATTGTCCGATGAATGAATCATCAGGTAGTTCACTTACTTACTCATCCATTCAAGATTGGGGCAGTCACGCTTCTTGCTCTGTGAGTCTACAGATGGATGCTCTGATCTCATGGTGTTTATGGTCTATTGGGGAAGCAGAAAATAAACAGGTAAATATATAAGTCAGAAGGCTTTAAGTGTAATGGAGAAAAATTAACTTGACTGAGAAGGATAGGCCTTCCTCTTGGATGTAATTTAGTCATTAAGGGACTCACTGCTCAGTTGCCATTTCGGCAGAGACCCGAGGCAGTGAGCATGGCAGCCATGGAGATGTGCTTCCCACAAAAGGTGCTATTTGCTGACAGCTTCTAGCTGCTGGTGCTTTCAGGATCTGCCTCGGTCTGTTTTTTTGTTTTGTTTTGTTTTTTACTGTAGTAAAATGTATTTAGCATAAAATTTGCCACTTCAACCATTTTTAAGATTTTAAAGTGGTGTTAATTATATTCACAATTCTGTGCAACTATCACCACCACTATCCAGTTTCAAAAATTGTTAACACCTCAAACAGAAACTGTACCCGTTAAATGATAACTCCTCATTTCTTCCTTCTGCAAGCCTTGGACCTTCTAATCTATATTTTGTCTCTATGGATTTACCTGTTCTAAATATTTACCATAAGTAGAAGCATACAATATTTGTCCTTTTGTGACTGTTTTATTTCACTGAGCACAGTGTTTTCAATGTTCATCCATGTGGTAGTGTGTGTCAATACTTCATTCCTTTTCATGGCTGGATAATATTCCACTGAATGTGCATACTACGTTTTGTCCATCCACTCATCTGTTGATGGACATTTGGTTGTTTCTCCCTCAGCTTTTGAGTGGAGGTCACATGCTTCCTGGATAATCCTCAGCCAATGACGGAGCACAATGATACAAAGGCTTGCCATTTCCCGGGCAGCGTGGAACCCTTCCACAGGCAATCTCTGTGGCAAAAGCTCCCTGCTGGGCTGGCTGACACTTTCTCAGTGCAGTATGCATGGAAATCTGAGGCTCTTCATCCAATCCTCCTATCCCCTCCTATCCCTGCAAGGATGTCAGACCTGCACTGTGGTCTGAAGGCCCAGCCTTCCCACTCCTGTCCCTTCTCTCCTTTATCTTTCACAGGCCTTACCCCCAATAAATCTTGAGCTCTCCTAATACTGCCTTGGAGTCTGCTTCCCAGAGGACTCATCCAACTTAGTGAGAGAGTGGGCCATGGAAAGGCCTCGGGCAAGGGTGTTCTGGCAGAGGAAATGTGAGGTGTCAAGGCCCTCAAGTGGATATAGGTTTGGTCAATTGGAGAAAACAGCAAGGAGGCCATACTGACTTGGAGTCTAGATATTAAAAGGGAAAGAGGGATGACATGAAGTCAGAGAAGTCACAGGAATCATATCATTCAAGACTTCCTAGGCTGTGGTAGTCCCTCACTATTCCTATCTCCCAGTAATTCAATCAAATATTAACCTGGGTACTGCTATGATGAGATTTGGCAGATGCAATTAAGATAGCAGACCTTAAACCAGGGAGTGGAACCCATCTAAAATTAGAGAAATGTCTCTGGCTGGAGTGAGAGAAATGTGGCTGGAGTGAGAAGAGTAAGGAGGAAAGATCTAAAGCAAGAGAGGGACCTGGACCCTACCTGCTGTGGGTGGAGGGGCCACCTGGAAAGATTGAGGGATGCAAGCAGCATCTAGGAGCAAAGGCTACCCTGGGCTGACCGCCAGAAAGGAAACGGAGATCTCATTGCTACAACCACAGGAACTGAATTCAGTGAATAACCTGAATGAACAAAGACACACATCCATCTCCAAAATTTTCAAAAGGGAATACAGCCTTGTCAGCCCCTTGCTGTCAATCTGATGAGACTCAGGACAGAGAAACTAGCCAAGCCTACGAGACTCTGACCTGCAGAACTGTGAGTTGATAAATGGGTGTTGTTTTTAGCTGCTAAGATGGAGACTATTCGTTATGGCAGCAATAGAAAACTAATACAAGAGAGTTGGCAAGATGGCTGAATAGGAACAGCTTCAGTCTGCAGCTCCCAGCAAGACCAACGCAGAAGGTGGGTGATTATTGCATTTCCAACTGAGGTGCCCGGTTTATCTCACTGGGACTGGTTAGACAGTGGGTGCAGCCCATGGAGGGGGAACAGAAGCAGGGTGGGGTATCGCCTCACCCAGGAAGTGCAAGGGGTCATGGACCTCCCTCTCCTAGCCAAGGGAAGCCCTGAGGGACTCTACTGTGAGGGACTGTGCTATCCAGCCCAGATACTATGCTTTTTCCATGGTTTTTGCCACCCACAGACCAGGAGATTCCCTCGTGTGCCTACACTACCAGGGCCCTGGGTTTCAAGCACAAAACTAGGCAACTCTCTGGGCAGATAAACAGCTGCAGGAGTTTTTTTTCATACACCAGCAGTGCCTGGAACCCCAGTGAGACAGAACCACTCACTCCCCTGGAAAGGGGGCTGAAGCCAGGAAGCCAAGTCTTCTCGCACAGCGGGTCCCATTCCCACAAAGTCCAGCAAGCTAAAATCCACTGGCTTGAAATTCTCGCTGCCAGCACAGCAGTATGAAGTCAACCTGGGACAATTGAGCTTGTTGGGGGAGGGGCGTCCACCATTACTGAGGCTTGAGTAGGTGCTTTTCCCCTTACAGTGTTAACTCTGACTGCAGAACTCACCGCAGCATGGCAAAGTACCTGGGGCCAGACTGCCTCTCCAGATTCCTCCTCTCTGGGCAGGGCATCTCTGAAAGAAAGGCAGCAGCCCCAGCCAGGGGCTGATAGGTAAAATTCCCATCTGCCTGGGACAGAGCACCTGGGGGAAGGGGCGGCTGTGGATCCAGCTTCAGCAGACTTAAACGTTCTGCCTGTCAGCTCTGAAGAGAGCAGCGGATCTCCCAGCACAGTGTCCAAGCTCTGCTAAGAGACAGACTGTCTCCTTAAGGGGGTCCCTGACCCTCATGCCTCCTGACAGGGAGACACCTTCCAGCAGGGTTCAACAGACACCTCATACAGAAGAGCTCCAGCTGACTTCTGGCAGATGCCACTCTGGGACGAAGCTACTAAAGGAAGGAGCAGGCAGCAATATTTGCTGTTCTGCAGCCTCCACTGGTGATACCCAGGCAAACAGGGTCTGGAGTGGACCTCCAGCAAACTCCAGCAGACCTGCAGAAGAGGGGCCTGACTGTTAGAAGGAAAACTAACAAACAGAAAGCAATAACATCAACATCAACAAAAAAGATGCCCACAGAAAAACCCCACCCAAAGGTCATTAGTATCAAAAATCAAAGGTAGATAAATCCACGAAGATGAGGAAAAAACAGTGCAAAAATGTTGAAAATTCCAAAAAACAGAATGCCTCTTCTCCTCCAAATGATTGCAACTCCTCTCCAGCAAGGGCACAAAACTGGATGGAGAATGAGTTTGACAAATCGACAGAAGTAGGCTTCAGAAGGTGGGTAATATCAAACTCCACTGAGCTAAAGGAGCATGTTCTAAACCAATGCAAGGAAGCTAAGAACCTTGATAAAAGGTTAGAGGAATTGCTAACTAGAATAAGCAGTTTAGAGAAGAACATAAATGATCTGATGGAGCTGAAAAACACAGCATGAGAACTTCGTAAGGCATACACAAGTATCAATAGCCAAATCGATCAAGCAGAAGAAAGGATATCAGAGATTGAAGATCAGCTTAATGAAATAAAGCGTGAAGACAAGATTAGAGAAAAAAGAATGAAAAGGAACAAATAAAGCCTCCAAGAAATATGGGACTATGTGAAAAGACCTATGATTGATTAGTGTACCTGAAAGTGATGGGGAGAACGGAACCAAGTTGGAAAGTATACTTCAGGATATTTTCCAAACATACTTCAGGATATTTTCCAAGAAACATACTTCAGGATATTTTCCAAGAGAACTTCCACAGCCTAACAAGACAGGTCAACATTCAAATTCAGGAAATATAGAGAACACCAAAAAGATACTCCTCGAGAAGAGCAACCCCAAGACACATAATCATCAGATTTTCCAAGGTTGAAAACAAGGAAAAAGTGTTAAGCACAGCCAGAGAGAAAGGTCAGGTTACCTACAAAGGGAAGCCCATTAGACTAACAGTGGATCTCTCTGCAGAAACCCTACAAGCCAGAAGAGAGTGGGGGCCAATATTCAACATTCTTAAAGAAAAGAATTTTCGACCCATAATTTTATATCCAGCCAAACTAAGCTTCATAAGTTAAGGAGAAAAAAATCCTTTATAGACAAGCAAATGCTGAGGGATTTTGTCAACACCAGGCCTGCCTTACAAGAGTTCCTGAAGGAAGCACTAAACATGGAAAGAAAAAACTGGTACCAGCCACTGCAAAAACAAACCGAAATGTAAAGACCATTGACACTATGAAGAAACTGCATCAACTAATGTGCAAAATAAACAGCTAGCGTCATGATGACAGGAACAAATTCACACATAATGATATTACCTTTAAGTAAATGGACTAAATGCCCCAATTAAAAGACACAGACTGGCAAATTGGATAGAGTCAAGACCCATTGGTGTGCTGTATTTAGGAGACCCAACTCACATGCAAAGACACACATACGCTCAAAATAAAGAGATGGAGGAATAGTTACCAAGCAAATGGAAAGCTAAAAAAATAAAAATAAATAAATAAATAAATAAATAAAAACAGCAGGTGTTGCAATCCTAGTCTCTGATAAAACAGACTTTAAACCAACAAAGATGAAAAAAAGACAAAGAAGGGCATTACATAATGGTAAAGGGATCAATGCAACAAGAAGAGCTAACTTTCCTAAATATATATGTACCCAGTACGGGAGCACCCAGATTCATAAAGCAAGTTCTTAGAGACCTACAAAGAGACTTAGTCTCCAACACAATAATAGTAGGAGACTTTAACACCCCACTGTCAGTATTAGGCAGAACAATGAGACAGAAAATTAACAAGGATATTCAGGACTTAAACTCAGCTCTGGACCAAGCAGACCTAATAGACATCTACAGAACTCTCTACCCCAAATCAATAGAATATACATTCTTCTCTTCACCACGTAGCAGTTATTCTAAAATTGACCACGTAATTGAAAGTAAAACACTCCTCAGCAATTGCAAAAGAATGGAAATCGTAACAAACAGTCTCTCAGACCATAGTGCAATCAAATTAGAACTCAGGATTAAGAAACTCATTCAAAACCACACAACTACATGGAAACTGAACAACCTGCTCCTGAATGACTACTGGGTAAATAACAAAATTGAGGCAGAAATAAATAAGTTCTTTGAAACCAATGAGAATAAAGACACAACATGCCAGAATCTGTGGGACACAGCTAAAGCAGTGTTAAGAGGGAAATTTATAGCACTATAATGCCCACATCAGAAAGCAGGAAAGATCTAAAACCAACACACTAACAGCAGAACTGAAGGAGACAGAGACATGAAAAACCCTTCAAAAAATCAATGAATCCAGGAGCTGGTTTTTTGAAAAGATTAACAAAATAGATAGACTGCTAGCCAGACTAATAAAGAAGAAAAGAGAGAAGAATCAAATAGACACAATAAAAAAATGATAAAGGGAATATCACCACTGATCCCACAGAAATAAAAACTACCATCAGAGACTGCTATGAAAACCTCTATGCAAGTAAACTAGAAAATGTAGAAGAAATGGATAAATTCTTGGATACATACACCCTCCCAAGACTAACCCAGGAAGAAGTTGAATCCCCATATACACTAATAACAAGTTCTGAAATTGAGGCAGTAATTAATAGCCTACGAACCAAAAAAAGCCCAGGACCAGATGGATTCACAGCCAAATTCTACCAGAGGTACAAAGAGGAGTTGGTTCCATTCCTCCTGAAGCTACTCCAAACAATAGGAAAAGAGGGAATCCTCCCTAATTTTATAAGGCCAGCATCATCCTGATACCAAAACCTAGCAGAGACACAACAAAAAAATAAAATTTCAAGCCAATATCCCTGATGAACATCGCTGCGAAAATCCTCAATAAAATACTGGCAAAGCGAATCCAAGAGCACATCAAAAGGCTTATCCACCACGATCAAGTCGGCTTCATCCCTGGGATACAAAGCTGGTTCAAACATATGCAAATCAATAAACATAATCCATCACATAAACAGAACCAATGACAAAAACCACATGATTATCTCAATAGATGCAGAAAAGGCCTTCAATAAAATTCAACATCCCTTCATGCTAAAAACACTCAATAAACTAGGGATTTATGGAACATATGTCAAAATAATGAGGCCTATTTATGACAAACCCACAGCCAATATCATACTGAATGGGCAAAAGCTGGAAGCATTCCCTTTGAAAACTGGCACAAGACAAGGATGCCCTCTCTCACCACTCCTATTCAACATAGTATTGGAAGTTCTGGCTAGGGCAATCAGGCAAGAGAAAGAAAGAGTATTCAGATAGGAAGAGGGGAAGTCAAATTGTCTATTTCCAGATGATGTGATTATATATTTAGAAAACCCCATCATCTCTGCCCAAAATCTCCTTAAGCTGATAAGAACCTTCAGCAAAGTCTCAGGATACAAAATCAATGTGCAAAACCCACAAGCATTCCTAAACACCAATAACAGATGAAAAGAGAGCCAAATCATGAGTGAACTCTCATTCACAATTGCTACAAAGGAAATAAAATACCTAGGAATACAACTTACAAGGGACGCGAAGAACCTCTTCAAGAACTACAAACCACTGCTCAAGGAAATAAGAGAGGACACAAACAAATGGAAAAACATTCCATCCTCATGGATAGGAAGAATCGATATTGTGAAAATGGCCATACTGCCCAAAGTAATTTATAGATTCAGTGCTATTCCCATCAAGCTACCATTGATTTTCTTCACAGAACTAGAAAAAACTACTTTAAATTTTATGTGGAACCAGAAAAGAGCCTGTATAGCCATGACAATCCTAAGCAAAAAGAACAAAGCTGGAGGCATCACACTCCCTGGCTTCAAACTATACTACAAGGCTACAGCAACCAAAACAGCATGGTACTGGTACCAAAACAGATATATAGACCAATGGAACAGAACAAAGGCCACAGAAATAACACCACACATCTACAACCATCTGATCTTCAACAAACCTGACAAAAATAAGCAATGGGGAGAGGATTCCCTATTTAATAAGTGGTGCTGGGGACACTGGCTAAGCATATGCAGAAAACTGAAACTGGACCCCTTCCTTACACCTTATACAAAAATTAACACAAGATTGCCTAAAGATTTAAACATAAAACCTAAAACCATAAAAACCCTAGAAGAAAACCTAGGCAATACCCCTCAGGACATAGGCATGGGCAAAGACTTCATGACAAAAACACCAAAAGCAATGGCAACAAAAGCCAAAATTGACAGATGGGATCTACTTAAACTAAGGAGCTTCTGCATAGTAAAAGAAACTATCATCAGAGTGAACAGGCAACCTACAGAATGGGAGAAATTTTTTGCAATCTCTCCATCTGACAAAGGTCTAACATCCAGAATCTACAAGGAACTTAAACAAATTTACAAGAAAAAAACAACCCCATCAAAAAGTGGGTGAAGGATATGAACAGACACTTCTCTAAAGAAGGCATTTATGCAGCCTACAAACATGAAAAAAAAAGCTCATCACTGGTCGTTAGAGAAATGCAAATCAAAACCGCAGTGAGATACCATCTCATGCCAGTTAGAATGGCAAATATTAAAAAGTCAGGAAACAACAGATGCTGGAGAGGATGTCGAGAAATAGGAAAGCTTTTACACTGTGTCAGTGTAAATTAGTTCAGCCATTGTGGAAGACAGTGTGGCGATTCCTCAAGATCTAGAACCAGAAATACCATTTGACCCAACAATCCCATTACTGGGTATAAACACCCAAAGGATGATAAATCATTCTACTGTAAAGATACATGCACATGTATGTTTATTGCAGTGCTATTCACAATCGCAAAGGCTTGGAACCAACCCAAATGCCCATCAATGATAGACTGGATATAGAAAATATGGCACATATACACCATGGAATACTATGCAGCCATAAAAAAGAATGAATTCATGTCCTTTGCAGGGACATGGATGAATCTGGAAACCATTATTCTCAGCAAACTAACACAGGAACAGAAAACCAAACACCACATGTTTTCACTCATAAGTGAGAGTTGAACAATGAGAACACATGGACACAGAGAAGGGAACATCACACACTGGGGCCTCTCAGGGGATGGGGGACAAGGGGAGGGAGAGCATTAGGACAAATACCTAATGCATGCAGCACTCAAATCCTAGACAATGGGTTGACGGGTGCAGAAAACCACATGGCACATGTATACCTATGTAATAAACCTGCATATTCTGCACATCTATCCCAGAACTTAAAGTTTAATGATGATAAAGAAGAAGAAGAAGAAGAAGGGGAGGAGGAGGAGGAGGATGAGGACGACTAATACACAGGGCATGGTCACATTTTGAGATGTTACTCTAAGAATTGTGGGACATCATTAGAGAATGGCAAGCTAAGAAATGATGGTATCTGATGTATGTTTTAAGAGTATTCTGGCTATGTGTGGAGACTAGACAGTAGAGGCAACACCAGACAGAAGGTGTTGTCCTAACCTACGAGAAATAACAGTGGCTTTAGCCAGCATGGTGGTGGCAGTGGTGAAGAGGGGCAGGATCCTAGATGAATTTATTTCAAAGGCAGGGCCGACAGAGTTGTTGACTGACAATTTGAGAGAAAGAACAAAGTCCAGAGTGACCCCCACCGAAAGAATGAAGTGGACATTTGTTGAGGTGGGCAAGGCTGATTGGAGGTGGGGAACAAAATTAACAATGTCAAATTTGAAATCTCAGGCACCATAAACACAAAACCCAAAGGGAGGAGTCAAATTACCCTTGGCAAATTTCAGAATAAATGCATGGGAAATATTTTCAAGACTCTTGGATCCCTAAGCCAAATCTGGATTATGAAAAGAAGTCAAGCTGTGGAGAGATGGGACGATGGGTTTACAAGTGTGGTTTTTGTTGTGTGTTTTGTCTGTTTGTTTCTAAGAGGGAGCTCTTAGAGAGGTTAGACATACCTCGTTATACCACCTCCCTTTTGGAATTCAGGAAGAGCTGACCAGCATGTAACATCAACACAGACCTTAAGTCTGATAAGAAATATTTACAATCTATTCTCTCTAGAGCCTGCTACCTGGAGGCTTCATCTGCATGATAAAACTTTGGTCTCAGCAACATTTTATCATAACTCAGACATTTCTTTCTATTGATAGTAAGTCTTTCAACCAATTGCCAATCAGAAAATGTTTAAATCTACCTATAACTTGGAAGCTGCCCCGCCACCACCCCCCTGCCACTTCAGGTTGTACCACCTTTCTGAATCGAACCAATGTATATCTTAAATGTATTTGATTGATGTCTTGTGTCTCCCTAAAGTGTATAAAACCAAGCTGTGCCCCAACTACCTTGGGTACATGTTCTCAGGGTCTCCTGAGGGCTGTCATGAGCCATGGTCACTCATATTTGGCTCAGAATAAATCTCTTCAAATATTTTACAGAATTTGACTCTCTTCATTGACACTATACTCTGATCCCAAAAGCTAGTGACCAAATTGAAGTGGCAAAACTATTTCAATGCCACCCTTAAACTATGCTTCCCTGACTGCCTGCTTTCTACATTGGACCAGTTTACCTGATTTAAATTTTGTACTGTAGTCTCTTGGTGGAAAAGACCCATGCTGTCATTGAAACCAGCAACCGTATTCTATTATTTTGCCCCAATGCTCTATGTTACCCATTCAACTTAAAAATCCCCCACAGTATGCCTAGTAAATACCTAAATTCCATTTGAATGCTAGAGAGCTGGTATCCCAACTCTTGAATTAAGCTATGGATGGTTTATTTAGAGGCAGATTTGAGGTTATTTCTCATTCTCCCTTCACAGGCAGTGGTTCAATGTCAATGTCAATTTTTAAGGCTTGGTTACAGATCAACTAACCTACAAGAGGAATTATGTAGTTTCATTGTGTTCCTTTCTCAAATTGGTATTTGTCACTCCATTTCCTGTATGATGTGGATGGTAACCCCCAAATAACACTAAGTGGAAACACTTGTTTTGTTGCAGCCTTCCTAGCAGTGTTCCTAATGCCTGACCACTGCGATGTTTAGCATTTAAATGAGATTAAACCTCTCTGTGGGTGCAGAAATGAACTAAGGCCCATGGGTTCTCTGCAAACAAATACATATTAAAAGATGATAATTTTGCATTCTAAACCATGTCAAAACCATCTAAAATATTAAATTAGCAACTTGACCAAGGACTGCCAGGAAAAACAGTTTCCAGAAGTGTTCTTTTTTTTTTTTTTTTTGAGACAGAGTCTTGCTCTGTCGCCCAGGCTGGAGTGCAATGATGCGATCTTGGCTCACTGCAAGTTCTGCCTCCTGGGTTCACGCCATTCTCCTGCCTCAGCCTCCTGAATAGCTGGGACTACAGGTGTCCGCCACCACACCTGGCTAATTTTTTTGTATTTTTAGTAGAGATGGGGTTTCACCGTGTTAGCCAGGATGGTCTTGATCTCCTGACCTCGTGATCCGCCCACCTCGGCCTCCCAAAGTGCTGGGATTACAGGCTTCAGCCACCACGCCCAGTCCCCAGAAAAGTCTTCTTTAGCTAAGATTCCAAGGAAAAGTGTTGAGCACATAAATTACACCAAGGCAAAGAGTTGAGCGAATAATTACACAGGGAAGTGTTGCTTTTTTGTTTGAATTATCTGCATACTTTCAGGCACTCTTTAACTTTGAAGACAGAAAATAATAAAAGTAGGTAACACTCTTGGAGCATAATAGTAGGTTGGAAAGATTAAGATAAGGATAGAGGACAGGGGAACAGGGAGATGGGAGGAAAAAAATAGCCTCTATTCTATCCTCTTTTCTGGGCAATAGATCATGCTATCTCATGTTTGCAGGTAATAAGGCTAGTGTTGGCCAATGAGTGTGGTCAAGGAGGACAGATCATCTACAATAGACAGAATGATTGTGTTAATCAGGGTTATCCAGAAAAACAGAGCCAGTAGGATATATAGGAGAGATTTATGTTAAGGAATTGACTCATGTCATTATGGGGGATGATGACAAGTCCAAAATCTGTAGGGCAAGGCAGCCTACTGGAATTTCAGGCACAAGATGATGTTGCAGTCTTGAGTCCAAAATCTGCAGGCTGAGAGTCTCTATGTTAAAAGTCTTGAGGCAGAATTTCTTCTTCCAGAAACCTCAATCATTCTCGTAAGTCCTTCAGCTAACTGGATGAGGGCCACTCACATTATGGACGGTAATCAACTTTACTCAAAGCTTATGGATTTAAATGTTAATCACCTTCACAGCAACATCCAGCTAGCATTTGATAAAACAATTGGGCACCATAGCCTAGCCAAATGGACATGTAAAATTAACTATCACAATGACTATCACTTTCTTAGTCATAGTTGTTGGTTACTATAACCTTAGATCACTGTGTGCCCATGGAATCCAACCAGTTGTCTTTTGTCCTCAGAATAAAAAGCAAATAATTCTGATTTTATTCACTCACCTTCTTGCATTTCTTCTCTGCAAGGAAGCTGGGAAAGGAGATTGAGGAAGAGAGATGTTTAATGTGACTTTGTTTTAACATGTGTATTTGTGGTCAAGTGCTAATCTGAATTCACGAGCCTGTGTCAACGAATTTGAAGATGCATCGCCTACCACAAGGCACCTTCTTGACCTCCTCTGTCTTATGGGTCTTGGGAGCATTAGCACATTCATCTTAGGATAGATCAGACTCGAAGCATTGTCTTCTCTTTCACAATCTGCATATTTTATATTAGAAACATCACGCAGGGACCAACCCAGGGTAACACTGGAAGCGCAACAACAAAACAGTCAGCTAGGGAGCATCAGGCTGACAACAGATTGATAATGTATTTCACATATAGCAGGGAAAGCTGTCACACTGAGCCCAATTCCCTTCTCTGACACCAGGGAGCACTTAGTGGTGGGTTCTCCAAGACACAGAGAGAAAGCCTCTTTCTGTTCCTGTTTGAGCTGTGAGACGTGTACGGAAAGGAGTCCTCACTCTTTTGACACCATCCATGAGATTTGCAGTTTAACTGAAACACTGCTTATGAATTCTTTGCAAGGGGCGCGTTGGTCTCTTCTCACAAATCGTCTCTTTCTGGCCTTTGTTTGGGGCACCATACAGCCATCTCAAAAAGCCCGCCCTTGCCTCTGTGACACCGGATGCTCCTGGTACTTATCCTTCCTGTAGTCATCACTGGTTGCACAAGAATGCCTCATTTCTGTGTTCTACTAGCCTAGCTTCAGAACCAAACCCATGTAGCGTGTCAAATCAGGTGTCCTTTTTGACTCACTCATTTTTTTTTTCCAGGGCAATGGAAAGGGGCCTTGCTTAGGGCCAGGTCAAGAGATAATTGGGAATTTTGCAAAGCCCTAATGAGCACAGCCTGAAGGTCCCGACTGTGTTCACACTTCCAACAGCCACTATGTGTCGACACGTCACACAACCAGCCCTGATTCTCCCATCCCGAGGTCTCCCAGCCCAGGCAGGGCCTCCACACCCCTCTGCAATTCCCTCACACCCTTGTCTAACTGTTAATTAGATGCCTCATTTCTTGGCATGTGTATGGGCTTGAGCCATCTGCTTATTGATCACATCCTTCAGAATATATTGGATTTTAAGGAACCCAGCCACAAAGCAGGTTATGTTGCAGGTGGCTCATTGAGATTTCTCCAGAGCAAACTCAAGAGTGTATAGTGTGTGGTGACCTGTAGCCAGGCACATGAATCAACACGGTATAGACATACTGCCTGCAAAGCTCAGAGACCGTCATCTTTATAAATTGATGCAAAAACAACACTCAAAATTCCTACCTGAAATCCTTCCACAATATTTGGTATCGCACAAAATAAAAATATATAAAGTAGGCAAACAAGGTACACACTTACTGAGACCTCTATTACAGTACTAAAGACTAAATAGTGGATTGCCTAGCTTACAGACAATCCAGAAGCTCAATCCTCCAGGCCAGGTCATGTGTCTGAATCCTCCACCAGACCTTAGAGAGCTGTTAGGAGCAGGGACGTCTGTCCATATCTGTGCCTCTAGCCTCTCTAAACTGCATGTTGGAACATGTGTGATTCTTGTTGCTGCTCTTTAAACAGAAAACGGTGGAAATGCTTTGGATCTTTTAAACTCACTTCTGCATAAGAATGTCTGATATCCGTGGCATTCATCATAAACAAAACAACAACCATTGGAAAGATTTCTCATTTTTTCATCCTGAATTCCTGTTTCATTCCTCCCTTTAACTTGCTCCTTTTTGGATCACAGCAACTTTTCTGGGTTAAGGTAAACCACCAGCATAAACAAAACAACATAAACTTTCCTGGAGAACATTTGGGATTATTCTTCAATTAATTAAAGTATCTCAGGACCCCTCCAAAATTCTTATGCAAAAGGGAAGATCACTGCAACACCTTCTCCCAAATGAATACCTGTTACCAGCATTACGCATTAGGCGGGTCCTCAGAGAGAGGTAAAAGGCCTCAGGTGAGGTGGAGGTGGAGCAAGATGGCAAAATAGAAGACTCCACCCATCATCCTCCCTTCAAGGACACCAATTTACACACACACACACACACACACACACACACACACACACACACACAACCTTCATCAGAACCAAAAATCAGGTGAGCCCTCATAGTACCTGGTTTTAACTTCAGAGGCAGGAAAAACCGTTGTGATGTGGTGTGGAGAGCATCTCTAGGCACTAGAGGAGGGAGAGCACAGCAATTGTGAAGCACTGAACTCAGTGCTGTCCTGTTAGAGCAGAAAGGAAAACCGAAAGGACCTAACTCAGCTCACTCTCACCCACAGAGGGAACATTTAAACCAGCCCTAGCCAGAAAGGATCACAGATCCCAGCCGTGCAAACTTGAGTTTCTGCAAACCTCACCACTGAGGGCTACAGCGCTCTGTATCTCCAAGTAAACTTGAAAAGCAGTCTAGGCCACAGGAACTGCAACTCTTAGGCAAGAGCTACTGCTGAACCAGGCCCAGAGACAGTGGACTGGGGATGGGCGACATACTGAGACACAAGCTGGGGAAGACAAGGGAGTACTGGCATCGCCCCTCCCCTAACCCCAGGCTGCACAGCTTGTGGCTCCAAAAGAGACCCCTTCCTTCTGCTTGAGGAGAGGAGAGGGAAGGGTGGGGAGGACTTTGTCTTGTATCTTGGATACCGGCTAAGCCACAGCAGGATAGGATACCAGTCACAGTTGTGAGGGCTTTGATCCAGGACCTGGCGCCTGGATGACATTTCTAGACACATCCCGGGCCAGAAGGGAACCTGCTGTCTTGAAGGGAAGAACTCAGTCCTGCCAGCACTCAACACCTTCTAACTGAAGAGCCCGTGGGCCCTGAATAAACAGCAGCAATACCCAGGAACTATGTTGAGGGCCTTGGTGAGCCTCTGAGACTTGCTGGCTTCAGGTGAGACTCGGCACATTCCCAGCTATGGTAGCTCTAGTAAGAGAGTCCTTCTGCTTGAGAAAAGCAGAAGGAAAAGTAAAGGGGACTTTGTCCTTCACCTTAGGTGCTGGTTTGGCCACAGAAGGGTAGAGCACCAAGTGGGCTCCTGGGGTCCCTTATTCCAGAACTTGACTCTTGGATGGCATTTCTGGACCTGCCTGTGTCCAGAAGGGAGCCCACTACCCTGAAGGGTGAGTCCCAGGCCAGGCAGCATTCACCACAAGCTGACTGAAGAGCTCTTGGGTCTTAAGGGATCATCGGCAGTAGTCTGGCAGTACTCCCTGTGACCTGTGGTGGCAGGGACTTCAGGGTGAGGCTCCTTTGCCTTTGGAAAGGGGAAGGAAGAGCAGGAAGGACTGTGTCTTGTGGTTTGAGTGCCAGCTCAGCTGCAATACAGTAGAACACCAAGTAGACTTCTAAGGTTTTTGACTGTAGTCCCTGACTCCCAGATGGCACCTCTAGACCCTCCAGGGGCCTGGGCAAACTTGCTGCCCTGAAGGAAAAGACAAAGGCCTGGTTGGCTTTGCCATCTGCTTACTCTAAAGCCCAAGGGCCTTGAGTGAACATAGGCAGTGGCCAGAGAGAGGTTACAGCAGACCTTGGGTGAGACCCAGTGCTGTGCTGGCTTCAGTTCAACCAAGTGCCGTCATAATGATGGTAGCCACAGGGGTGCTTGTGTCACTTCACCTCCAGCTTTAGGTGGCTCAGAACAGAGATAGAGAGACCCTGTTTGTTTGGGAGGAAGTAAGGGAAGAGAACAAGAGTCTCTGCCTGGTAATCTAGAGAATTCTCCTCGATCTTGTCCACGACCATCAATACCAAGAGATACCAGATGGTATATCTCTGCTAGTCTGCAAGAACCACAGTGTTACTGGGCTTGGGTGCCCCCTAAAGCAGATACAGCTTATATCACAACACGCTAGTTCTTTAAGTATCTGGAGCCTTCCCAAGAAGGATGGGTACAAACAAGCCCAGACAGTGAAGACAACAATAAATACCTAACTCTTCAATGCCCAGACACCGAAGAACATCTAGCATCAGCACCATCCAGGAAATCATGACCTTATCAAATGAACTAAATAAGGCACCAGGGACCAATCCTAATGAAACAGAGATATGTGACCTTTTAGACAGAGAATTCAAAATAGCTATATTGAGGAAACTCAAAGAAATTCAAGATAACACAGAGAAGGAATTCAGAATTCTATCAGGGAAATTTAACAGAGACTGAAGTAATTAAAAAGAATCAAGCAGAAATTCTGGAGCTGAAAAATGCAACTGGCATACTGAAGAATGCATCAGAGTCTTTTAATAGCAGAACTGATCAAGCAGAAGAAAGAATTAGTGAGCCTGAAGATAGGCTGTTTGAAAATACACAGCCAGAGGAGACAAAAGAAAAAAGAATAAAATACAATTAAGCACACCTACAGGATTTATAAAATAGCCTCAAAAGGGAACATCTGAGAGTTATTGACCTTAAAGAAGAGGCAGAGAAAGACATAGGGGCAGAAAGTTTATTTAAAGGGATATCAGAGAATTTCCCAAACCTAGAGAGAGATATCAATATCCAAGTACAAGAAAGTTATAGAACACCAAGCAGATTTAACCCGAAGAAGACCACTTCAAGGCATTTAATAATCAAATTCAGGATAAAGATCAAGGATAAAGGATCCTAAAAGCAACAAGAGAAAAGGAACAATTAACATACAACGAAGCACCAATGCTTCTGGCAGCAGACTTTTCAATGGAAATCTTACAGGCCAGGAGAGAGTAGCATGACATATTTAAAGTGCTGAAAGAAGAAAATGTACACCCCAGAACAGTATATCTGGCAAAAAATACCCCTCAAACATGAAAGAGAAATAAAGACTTTCCCAGACAAACAAAAGCTGAGGATTTCATCAACACTAGACCTGTCCTACAAGAAATGCTAAAGGGAGTACTTCAATCAGAAAGAAAAGGGTGTTAATGAACAATAAGTAATCACCTGAAGATACAAAACTCACTGTTAATGGTAAGTATACAAACACAGACTATTACAACACTGTAACTGTGGTGTGTAAACTACTTTTATTCTAAGTAGAAAGACTAAATGATGAACCAGTCAAAAATAGTAACTAGAACAACTTTTCAAGACATAGACAGTATAAGAAAATGTAAATAGATAAAACAAAACGTTAAAAAGTGGGGGGATGAAGTTAAGATGTAGAATGTTGGCCAGGTATTGTGGCTTATGCCTATAAACCCAGCACTTTGGGAGGCTGAGGCAGGCGGATCACTTGAGGTCAGGAGTTCGAGACCAGACTGGCCAATATGGTGAAACCCCATCTCTACTAAAAACACAAAAATCAGCTGGGCATGCTGGCACATGACTATAATCTCCACTACTTGGGAGACTGAAGTATGAGAATCACTTGAATATGGAGGCAGAAAGAGCCGTGAGCTGAGATTGCACCACTGCACTCCAGCCTGGGCAACAGAGCAAAGACACTGTCTCAAAAAAAAAAAAAAATGTGTAGAGTGTTTATTAGTTATCTTTTTGCTTGTTTATTTATGCAAACAGTGGTTAAGTTGCTATTGGGTTACAATCACGGGTTATAAGCTAGTATTTGCAGGCCTCATGGTAACTTCAAACCAAAAAACATACAATGGATACACAAAAAAGGAAAAGCAAGAAACTAAATCATATCACCAGAGAAAATCACCTTCAGTTAATTGAATACAGGAAGAAAAAGAGAGAAGGAAGAGAAGACCACAAAACAACCAGAAAACAATAACAAAATGGCAGGAGGAAGTCTTTACTTATCAATAATAACATTGAATATAAATGGACTAAACTCCCAAATTAAAAGGCATAGCCTGGCTAAATGAATGAAAAAAGCAAGACCTGCTGATATCTTGCCTATAGGAAACACACCACCTATAAAGACACACACAGACTGAAAATAAAGGGATGGAAAAATATCAAATTTGTCTGATATAAGCAGGAGTCACTATATTTTCAGACAAAATAGATTTTTGAGACAAAATCTATAAGAAATGACAAACAAGGTCACTATATAATGATTAAAGGGCCAATTCAGCAAGATAATATATGAATAACAATTTTAGATATATATGTCCCCAACACTGGAGCATCCAGATGTATAAGGCAAATGTCAGAGCTAAAGAGAAAGATAGACTCTAATACGAGAATAGCTGGAGACTTCAACACCCCACTTTCAGCATTGGACAGATCTTTTAGACAGAAAATCAACCAAGAATCATCCGACTTAATCTTCACTATAGGCCAAATGGATCTAATAGATATTTATAGAACATTTCATCCAATGGCTGCAGAATATACATTCTTTTCCTCAGTGCAAGGATCATTCTCAAGCGTAGACCATACATTAGGTGAAAAACAAATCTTAAAACATTCAAAAAATTAAAATAATTCCAAGCATCTTCTCTGACCACAATGGAATAAAACTAGAAATCAATAACATGAGGAATTTTGGGAAGTACACAAACACATGGAAATTAAGCAATATGCTCCTGAATGACTAGTGGATCAATGGAGAAATTAAGAGGGAAATTGAAAAATGTCTTGAAACAGATGTTAATGGAAACAACATACCAAAACCTATGGGATACAGCAAAAGCAGTACTAAGATGAAGTTTATATCTACAAATGCTTACATCAAAAAAGGGGAAATCCTTCAAATAAGTGATCTAATGATGCATCTTAAAGAAATAGAAAAACAAGAGCACACCAAACTCAAAATTAGTAAAAGAAAAGTAATAAAGATCAGAGCAGAAATAAGTGAAATTGAAATGAAAAAAAATAATAAAAAGGATCAATAAAACAAAAAGGTTCTTTTTATAGTTAAACACAATTGACAAACCTTTTAGTCAAACTAATTTAAAAAATAGAGGTACAAAAACATAAAATCAGAAATGAAATAGGAGACTTCACAACTGATACTGCAAAAATTCAAAGGATCATTAGTGGCTACTATAAGCAACTATAGGCCAATAAATTGGAATTTCTCCAAGAAATGGACAAATTTCTAGACACATAAAACCTACCAAGCTTGTGCCAGTAAGAAATTCAAAACCTAAACAAACCAATAACAAGTAATGAGATCAAATAAAAATTCTCTCAGTAAAGAAAAGCCCAGGACCCAATGGCTTTACTGCTGAATTCTACCAAACATTTAAGGAAGAACTAATACTAATCCTACTCAAACCATTTTGAAAAATAGAGGAGAAGTGAATACTTCCAAATTCATTCTATAATGCAAAACCAGACAAAGACACTCAAAAAAAGAAAACCACAGGCCAAAATCTCTGGCCTTTAAGTCCTCAACAAAATACTAGCAAACTGAATTCAACAACACATTAGAAAGATCATTCATCATAACCAAGTGGGATTTATCCCTGGGAGGCAAGAATTTTTCAACATATGTATATTAATCAACATGATACATCATGTCAACAGAATAAAGGATAAAGGATAAAACAGAATAAAGGATATAAGGATCTTTTGAATTGATGCCAAAAAAGCATTCAATAAAATTCAACATCATTTCATGATAAGAAACCCTAAAAAAACTGGGTGTAGAAGAAACACACCTCAACATAATAAAAGCCATATATGACAGACCCACAGCTTGTATCATATTGAATGGGGAAAAACTGAAAGCTTTTTTCTAAGATATGGAACATGACCATGACAAGGATGCCCACTTTCACTAGTATTATCCAACATACTACTGGAATTCCTAGCTAAAGCAATCAGAAGAAAGAAATAAATGGCATCCAAATTGGAAAGAAAGAAGTGAAATTCTCCTTGTTTGCAAATGATATGATCTTATATTTGGAAAAACCTAAAGACTCCACCAAAAAACTATTAAAACTGATAAACAAATTTAGTAAAGTTGCAGGATATAAAATCAACGTACAGAAATCATTAGCATTCCTGTATACCAACAGTGAACAACCTGAAAAAGAAATTTTTGTAAATCCCATTTACAAAAGCCAAAAGTAAAATTAAAAACCTAGGAATTAACCTAAAGAAGCAACAGATCTCTATAATGAAACAACAAAACACTGATGAAAGAAACTGAAGACAACACCAAAAAAACGGAAAGATATTCCATGTTCATAAATTGGAAGAATCAATATTATTAAACTGTCCATACTACCCAAATCAATCTACAGATTCAATGCAATACCTGTCAAAATACCACTGAACTTCTTTAGAGAAATAGAAAAAACAATCCTAAAATTTATGTGGAACCACAAAACACCCAGAATAGCCAAAGCTGTCCTAAGCAAATAGAACAAAACTGGAAGAATCACATTACCTGACTTCAAATTATACTGCAGAACCATAGTAACCAAAATAGCATGGTACTGGCATTAAAACAGACACATAGACCAATGAAACAGAATAGAAAACACAGAAATAAATCCACACACCTACAATATGTGAATTTTCAATAAAGGTGCCAAGAACATACACTGGGGAAAAGACAGTTTCTTCAATAAATGGTTCTGGGGAAACTGGATATTCATATGCAGGAAAAAACTAGACCCCTATCTCTGGTCATATACAAAAATTAAATCAAAATGAATTAAAGACTTAAATCTAAGACCTCAAACTATGAAATTACTACAAGAAAACATAGAAAAAACTCTCCAGGACATTGGTTTGGGTAAAAATTTCTTGAGTAATACCCAGCAAGCAAGGCAACCAAAGCAGAAGTGGACAAATGGGATTACATTAAGGTAAAAACCTTCTGCACAGCAAAGGAAACAATCAACAAAGTGAGGAGGCAACCTACATAATGGGAGAAAATATTTGCAAACTACCGATCTGACAAGGGATTTATAAGCGCCATATATAAAGAACTCAAACAACTCTATAGGAAAAAGTCTAATAATCTGATCAAAAAACTGGACATAAGATTTGAATAGAGGTTTCTCAGAAGAAGACATGCAAATGGCAAACAGGCATACAAAAAAGTGCTCAACATCATTGATCATCAGAGAAATGCAAAACAAAACTACCATGAGATATCATCTCACCCCAGTTAAAATGGCTTATATCCAAAAGACAGGCAGTAACAAATGCTGGCGAGGATGTGGAGGAAAGGGAACACTCCTACACTGTTAGTTGGAATATAAATTAGTACAACCACAATGGAGAACAGTTTGAAAGTTCCTCAAAAAACTAAAAATAGAGCTACCATATGGTCCAGCAATCCCACTGTTGGGTATACACCCAAAACAAAGGAAATCAGTATATGCAAGAGATTTCTGCACTCTCATGTTTGTTGCAGCCCTGTTCACAATAGCTAAGATTTGGAAGCAACCTGTGTCCATCAACACATGAATGGATAAAGAAAATGTGCTACATATACACAATGGAGCACTATTCAGTCTTAAAAGAGAATGAGATCCTGACATTTGCAGCAACATGGATGGAACTGGTGAACATTCTATCAAGTGAAATAAGCCAGGCACAGAATGACAAACATTGGCAATAAGGTGATTATAGTCAATAATAACTTAATTGTTCATTTTAAAATAAGTAAAAAAGTGTAATCAGATTGTTCATAAAAGAAAGGATAAATGCTTGAGGGGATGGATACCTCATTGTCCATGACATGATTATTACACATTGCATGCCCGTATCAAAACATCTCATGTACTCCATAAATATATGCTCCTATTTTGTACCCCCCGCTCACCCCAAGAAAAAGGACTCAGGCATCAGGAAAGGACAGTCCTCACAGATCATTCCTAAGTACATTCTTCACTGGCATCCCATCAACAGAACCACCAGTTATAACTGTAGGTCTACAAACTAAGCCTAGCTCCTAAAACTAAAGTTTGTTGATTCCACACTGATGTCATGAAGAACTTCCTCCCAGGTGCAGAACAAAGACATAAGTAAAATGGACTATTCCTTTACTCTCTTTCTCTCTTCATTTGCCTTATCTTATGTAAAATGTAGTATTTGCCAACTGCCTACCTGCCCCTCTTTCCACATGCCTTTTCCCTCTAAGGAAATGTATAAATACTAAATCTCCCAAAAACCTCTTTGGAAAAACAACCCCAGATGTATTTGTGGCTCATGTTTTTTCCAGACGCACCCTAAGTAGTTTAATAAACCTTGATGATTGACGCTACACCTCAGTCACTCATTCCAGTTGTCACTGAATTCTGGTTCCATTCCTCCCTTTAATTCCCTCTTTGAGGATCACAGACAACTGTTCTCTGATTAAGGTAAGACACCAGAGTACACAAAATAATGAACTTTCCTGGAGCACCTTTGGGATTGTTCTTCATTTCTCGCCAAAGAGCTTTCTTCCAGAGATTCTGGCAGGATGCAAGGTTGCAAGAACACAGAGAGCAGCCATGGGAACCAAGCCTGCAATAAGCAAGGCCTGGAGTGGGGGCCACAATGCAACCCTGACCGCTGGCAGGGATGGCTATCAGGCCCTGTGGGTAACCATAGCTGGGTGGCTGGCTGGATGAGTGACAGGAAGCCACCTCTGATCTTTACCCTGTGCCCTGTGTCAGATAAAACAAATCCCAAGTTAAGTAAGGAAGAGCTTTCTTAGAAAAGACTATTGCAATATTTGATGAAAGTTTAGCATTTGGGGCCAGGCACAAGTTAAGTAAGGAAGAGCTTTCTTAGAAAAGACTATTGCAATATCTTGATGAAAGTTTAGCATTTCGGGCCAGGCACTGTGGCTCACACTTGTAATCCCAGCACTGTGGGAGGCTGAGGCAGCAGATCACCTCAGGTCAGGAGTTTGTAACAAGCCTGGCCAACATGATGAAACCCTGTCTCTACTAAACAAACAAAATTAGCCGGGTGTGGTGGCACATGCCTGTAATCCCAGCTATTCTAGAGGCTGAGGCAGGAGAATTGCTTGAACCCGGGAGGCAGAGGTTGCACTGAGCCCAGATGGCACCACTGCACTCACTCCAGCCTGGGTGACAAGAGTGAAACTCCATCTGGGTGGGGTGGGATGGGAAAAAAAAAAAAAAGAAAGAAAGTTTGGCATTTCGAACTTTTAAACAGGTCAAGTTAGCAAGTACCTTGTCTAGATTAGTCAGTAGATACAAACAGTTCAACTGATTACATATAAGGCAAAGAATGGGAGTTTGGAGGATCTGGCACTGTGTCTGGTTCTGTCATAGGTAAACAAGGAGGTCACCTGTGAGGGTTTTGTAAGTTTTTATAGGGAAGGGCCAGTCGTTGTGGCCGGCCATTTCCTGGAACGCAGAAAAGTTTCCTGACCATGGCTTAGGTAAAGCTGAACGTTGTCAGACCTCCCAGAAGTGGATTCATCTCTCAGGACTTCCTTTTCTCTTCTGTAAAAGGAGATTAGTAATAATTGCTTGCTTTACGCACCTCATGTTGAGATTATGAGGATCAAATGAGATCCTGTTTGTGAAAGTATTTTACAGCCTGTAAGGCATCCTATTAATAATGTCAGCTGTTGTTATTATCTGTGATAGTGGCTATTCAGCTCTCTTGTTCACAACGGGTGAAGGGGTGAACAGGTTCCAGAGGTCACCCTGGCTGACATTATGGTCTTAAAATCTCCAGACTTCCTGGCCGGAGGCCATGAGTTAGCTGTGGCAGCGGTGGGGCCTCCTCGTGGCTCCTCAGTAAACCTTGAGATGAGGCGTGACTTCCCCTCAGAGCCCATTTCCCGGTCTGCAAAATCCAGCTAAAGAGGTTGCCCTGGGTGTGTAATGGAGCCACAACAAAGTATTTTGTCAGCCCAAGGAACTACTCAGCTGCTTACGGAGAGGCGCAGGACCTCACAGAAGGCATCTTCCACACACGGAGACAGACAAAACAAGCACCTGCGACGGGCTTTACATCCTCAGAGGGCTGAGCTCCTAAATGACTTTTCTTTCAAAGGGCTGCACGGCTCAAGTCAGAGATTCAGACCACTGTTGTTCAGAGGTAGGAGACCGGGAGCACCTTGCAGCGGGTGTGGCATTGGCGTGGCCGCAGGAGAAGTGTGAATAATGCTTTGGTCAGCAAACCAAATAAAGATGCCTGGGGAGAAAAGCTTTTTCAGAAACCCAGGGAAGAAAATCAATATTCCTGGAAAGGAGAGAGGGGGAAATCTATAGAAAGGGAAAGGAGTGGTATGTAATGCAATTCGAAGATTTTCTTTTTCTACCCTCAAGCAATTGACTCAATAGAGAGCAAAACCTGAAACCCTCTGATTAGAAAGGTGAAGGTTTCACTAGAAGAACCAGCTGGCTCTCATATTGACTGGCCAGTGGTTGACTGGGTCACTGCTGGTGTCTGGGCCTGTTTTTCTTTTTTTGTTGTTGTTTTTTGTTTGTTTGTTTTGTTTTTGTTTTCTGATTTATAAGAGTAGAGCTGATATGAATCTTCCAAAAATCAGACATTGAGTTCAGATTTGAAAAGAATGCTATGTCAGTTTTTAAGTTATTCTCTCTGCTATAAATAAAATCCAAATAAATATAATTTCTGCATTTGACTTCATAAGTGAATACAGGAAACTGCTTTTCAACAGGGTCTTGAGCACTAATTTGCAGCCTTCAGAAGCAATTTCATCAGAAATATTCTAGAAAGAATATCCATTTTTGCATTTGTTTAAGTGATTGTGATGGAGATATGGATGGCCTTCCTTAAATGATCAGATTTAGAATATGAATTCATCATTATTATATTATTGATGTTGGGGGTCAGGTCTTTATTACCTTTGCATGCCCACTACTATGAATATATTCATTCATTTTCAGATAGTGAAAGTGGCATCACTGTTTGTCACACAGACTACCGACCACTCTGGCCCACCTGTTTCTCCATCAATATACACATTGTTCTAACAACTGGTTCTCCATCACATATATGACTGAAAAAGACCAAATATCTTCAAACAAATACAAAGAGTACACAATGACTTACTTTACCAGATCCGCCTCATATCTGCCTTGTCCTTCTGCCCGTGAGACCCAGGAATCCATGGAAATGATGGACAGATAATGTTTTCTGTCAAACACGTGAGAAATATTCTCCTAGGAAAGACTGTATTAGAAATGACAGATTGAATGGTGACTGTCGTCAACACCGTTGACTATTAAAATGACCCATCTCATGAAAAACAAAAGAATAAAGCTCCTGGCTAAATGAACAAAATGTAACAGTTCTATGTTTGTAACCTGGTCCTGTTTATCATTCCTCATCTCTTCAAATCAACTGAATATGACAGAGGCAAAAGTTAGCCAAGGGAACAATAGCTTTTAACTCTGATTTCACTTTGATGTGTTTGTTCACCAACCAGGAGCCCTGGGGGTTAACCTTTCTCTTGTAGTCATTGATCCTTTAAGATCTGAAGGCTTTTAATAAAATTGAGCTGACCAAGGCCTAATTTTTTTGATAATTTGTTTAAATCATAGACTGCCTCTCAGATTGTAATGAAACCCCTTACATCTATAAATGATGACAAGGAAACAGCCCAAGATATTGAATTTCCAGCTGTTTTTTATTTGAACAACTGACTGGGCCATTTTTTAAGCATAAAATAACTTCTAAACTGGCAATGTAAGGATACTTTCTCACTAGATATGACTTTTGCACCATATGGAGAAGAAAAAATGATTACATTATTAGGGGACTCATGAGAGACATGCCCTATATACCAGAATCCTAGTTGGCCATGCCAAGAAAACCCCAACCAGTAGATATCATCCTGCCCTCTGAAAGAATCTTAGCTTTGTAATTATAGTTCATTCAGGTCACATTGGTTTCTTTGCTTTTGAAACAAAAAGAGAATGAACTGAAAGATAGTCACTAGAAGGAGGATGGTTTTATGATTCTCCTTAAGCTTCATCCATGGGAGCAGGCTAACTTTCTTATCACAAATGTGAGTTGCATCCACATGATTTGCCAATATTTCCTGTCATTTCTCCAAAGTAAGGTCATGATTGACTTGTAATTCAGTAAAAAGTGTTTGTTTTGTGAATTGGTTGTTTTCTAAATTACATTTAAAAATTGAATGACTGTCTTCTTTAAGAACAATAATTTTTAAGACCTGAATGGAGTACTTCTCTGAATTTCAGCAGAGTTTTTCCTTCAATTAGCGTAACAGGTGGGTCTATTTTTCTGTGCAGGGCCCACTGCAGGATTCAGACATTTGCATCCTATCTACAACTACTCTGCTAGTTTCTTTTATTCTATCCTGGTAAATTTGTTTTCTAATTAGACAACAAGAATGATCTAAATAAGAAATTATAAAATTGTGGTAATATAAAAGGAAAAGTATGAAATTTGGAATCAGGAGACCCATTCTTCAGTCCTGAATTTTCTATATTCTGCTTATAGGCCCTTGAACAAATAATTAAACATTCTCAATCCCCCATAAAAAGAATAATAATACCTAATAAAGGTCTTTTATGAGACCAAACAATAAAATAAATGTGAAAGCTCTTTGATAACTATAAATTTCTCTGAACAAAGAACACCTTTGTTCTTACCACAGAGAAACAAATTGGTAAAATAATGTTCATATAAGCCTTAGGATCAGACACACCTAGATTCAAAATCTGACTCTAAGACTGACGTGTAAGTGGCATGGTACATTGAGGTAGACAGAATTCTTAAATGTCCCCCAAGACCTTCAGCCCTAATGCCAGTGACTGGGAATATACGAGATAACACATTTATGGAAAAAGGAATTTTACAGATGTTATTAAGGTTACTAATCCATCAACCTTGAATTAGTAAAATTGGCGATTATGGAGGTGAGTTTAATATAATCACACGAGCTCTTTAAAAGCAAGTTTTCACTAGCTAGTAGCGGAAGGAGGAGTCAGAGAGGTTGGAAGCATGAGGAGGATATGATGAATGGTTGCTATCTTTGAACATAATGTAAAAGTTAAAAGGAACTCAAAGAGACATCTAGAAGCAGAAGGCAACCCCTGGCCAACAGCTCACAAGAAAACAGCAACCTCAGTCCTACAACTGCAAGAAGCTTGATTCTGCCAAAAACGTAATTGAGCTTAGAAGTGGATTCCTTCCCCAAGCCTGAGTTAAGAACCTAACACAGCAATACCCTGCTCTGGGCCTGTGAGATCCTGAGCAGAGAACCCACTTGAGCCTCCCCAGACTGCCAATCCACAGAACTGTGAGAAAATAAATGAGTGTTGCTTTAAGTTACTAAGTTTATGTTAATCTGTCAGGACAGCAGTAGAAAACCTACACAGGCAAGTTTAAGTGACTTAAGTATAGCCCACCCAGTGCCTGGTGTGTAGTAGGAGAAGAGGAACCTGTGAAAATATTCATCCATTCCTTCCTGTAGAACCCCATTTCCCCAACTTTAATGTGTTCATGCATCACCAAGGGATCTTGTTATAATGTGGATTCTGATTCAGTAGGTCAAGGTGGAGCCCGAGACTGTGTGTTACTGGGAAGTTCCTACGTTGTGCTGATGCCAAGGCCACTCATCAAGAATCATACTTGGAGGGCAGGGCTGTGGAGCTCACCTCCACCAGTGGATCTCAACCCTGATTGTACATGATCCCTTGGGGGAAATTTTAAAATGCTCAGAAGCCTGGATTCTGCTTGTAATTTAATTGGTCTTAGGTGGAACAGAGGGATCAGTATCTTTTTAAAAGTTCTCAGCACGAGTCTCCTCTGAAGCCAGGGATGAGAAGTACTGCCCAAGACTTCTGCTACTCAAAGCATGGTCCCTGGACCAGCGGCACTAGTTTTACCTGGGAGCATGTTAAAAATGCAGATCCCACTCCAGACCTATTCAACTGGAATCACTGGGAGTAAGGTGCAAGAATCTGTGCTTTCAGTAGCTCTCCACATGATTCTAACGCTAGCTGGAGTGTGAGAGGCATTGTCTTAGAACAATACTCTAATTTTACAGGTGTAGAAATGAAACCCAGAGAGATTAAATGATTTTCCAAGACTGAAGCTGGAACACTATAGCCTGTGGGCCAAATCTGGCCTGTTTCTGTTTTTGTAAACCAAGTTATATTGGAACAAAAGCCATGCCCATTCGCTTGTGTATTATCTATGTCTACTAGTGGCAAAGTGGAGGATAACAACAAAGACCAAATGGTTTGCAGAAATGAAAATATTTACAATCTGACCCTTAAAGAAAGAGTGTGCTGACCCCTGCTCTCAGAATGCGCTTTAAATTAGTGGGGGAAAAAAGGCAAAATGCCAGCTGTTTTGAGGTAGTAACTGATGCAGACATAGAGGATGCAGAACATTTGCTAAATAACCACTGGGATCTGTTTTATCCCTATGTTTTCAGGGCAGGCAGGGCTATGAGGCCTGATCCTGGTCATTGGTCTGGAGATGGTAAGGGGTCACAGCAAAGACCCTCAGGAGGATGAACACCATCTTGTGAGGAAGGATCAGCCTCAAGTGAGGTCTTTGTAGATATCTAGTCTTCCTCTGGCTAAAGGAGGTCATGGTTCTTTAAACTCTTTCTACAGGCCTCCAGCTTTCACAGCACACCTTGAGTTGACAGTTGGCTGATCTGAGGGTACCATTTTCTTTAAGGCTGTCAATGCAGTTAACAAAACCCAGCATACACTGTGATCCTAATAATTATGCTTGCACTCACACAGTTTTCCAAGTCCAGTAACCAGTGACCCTCAGGAATCACCTGTTGTCAAACAAATTAGCATAAACTCAGCAGCTTGAAAGAGTGCTCATTTATTTCTAACTCTGGAGATCAGAAGTCTGGGGGGCCTTAACTGTGTTCTCAGCTTAGGGTCTCACAGGCCCAAATCAGCATTGACATAGCTGGGCTCTTCCCTAGAGGCTGTGGGGGAGAATCTGCTTCCAAGTTCATTGAGCTTACTGCAGAGAAAAGAAGGCATTCCAGAGAACTGAAAACTGAACACACCCATGGCCAGTGGCTGGACCAGAGGTGGCAATAAGACTCTGAGCCACAACTTCTGTAGCAATCAGCCCAAAATGACCAGCACATGATTAATAGCTGACATATTTCTTGATTTTTGTCCCCACTTCCAATTCAGGACAAACCAGAGAAGGTCAAATATGTCCCCAACCAATCACATAGCCTGCCCTGCTCCTACTTGGCCACCTCCAGCTTCTCTAGGCCAACAGCCTCCAATTGGGGCACACCTGAAGACGTCTTTTTTGCCCACTGTAAAGCTCTCCCACCCCTCTGCCTGCCTTTGAGTCTCTGCCAAACACCAGTGATGGTGGCCGACTCTTTCACTACAGCAAGCTCCGAATAAATCACCATCCTTGTTCTCAGTTGGGTGGTCTTTATTTCTGTAGGGCTGTGGGATGTCTTGGAAACTAGGAATTAAGATAGGATTTTTGTAGAATTTGACCTTGTGCCAGGTGATTGGAGGGAGAGTTGAAGGAAACAAAGACAGTTCTAGACTGAATGCTGTTAGGGTATGTGAACAATTCAGTGATTTGGTTCCTTGGTAATTTTTAATTAGGAGGCAGGAGGATTGAATCACAGATAGAGTTGCAATCAGCACGAAGTGATAGTCTCTTATTCTTGTTAGAAGAGTGGCATGTTAAGTTATTTGGAGGGGGAGTTGCAGGGTGTCCTTGTCTCTATCTTGTTTCACTCACAGTCATGAAGTGGTCTTGTCTGTCTTGTTCCATGGTGGTGACACAGTGGCCTTGTCTAATTATTGCTTATATTCTGTGAGTGTTACTCATGTTCACTAGTACTATCTAGCCGTTAGCTGTCAGCTGCCATGGCCATTCTTCATGTTCTCATTGTTCACATGGTACCCTATCACTTACACCAGAGTTCAGCAAACTTCGTCAGTAAATGGAAGACAGAAAATATTTTAGGCTTTGTAGGCTACACACAGTCTCTGTTGCATATTCTGTGTGTGTGTGTGTGTGTGTGTGTATGTGTGTGTGTGTGTGTGTGGTTCCAATCCTCTAAAAATGCAAAAGCCATTTTATACTCACAGGCCATACAAAAATAGGCGACGGACGATGGCTTGCCAGCTGCTGACCTAAGTTAATGCATTACCTTCCACCTGTGCCACACATCACTCTACCACAGGCAAGAGCCATAGTAACAGGAAGCTGTTGCATACCAAGGATTATCACCACTCCTCTTATCACCAGCAATGGGGTCCGTATTCCTCTTTGACTTTTAAGTAATCCAACTCTTCCCAGACTAATTCTCTTATCCACAGTTTCCCCCAAAGTTGAGTTGCAAGTACTTCAGTAGGGAGGGTGGTCCATGGACCAAGGGTGAGAGAAAGCAAAGCAGAGGAGGAGAGAGTCACCCTAACATTCTAATGATGTGTTCAGAAATTTGGCCATCACCACAGGCAACCAGTTGCTCAATTCTGCAGACCTTTTTCCCAGAGGAGGAAAGGAGGAAGCATTTCTCCATTAGCTTCTGACCTACTCTGGTCACAAGCTGCCCACAGGGAAATAACTCTGGTGCACTCATGAGCACTGAGCAGGTGCTAATGGCCATGCTCCATGCCATACCAATGGAGAAGACAGCAGCACAAAGCAAAGGCTATGTGTGTGAGCCTGGGGTGAGTATTGTCAGTTACACCTGCTGGAAGGTGCTGGAACGGGGGCACAACATGTAGCTCAGTAGCCAAAATGAGAGATAACACCTAGTGGATTTGAAGTGGCACTTGAAGAGGAGCTATATGCCTCCTACCTCCACCATTCCCTCTGAGCCAACTACTACATGAAAGCATCAAGGGGAACCTCGCCCGCCCCAATGGAATCCCTAGGAAATTCTTGCAAAATGAGTTCAGAGAAAATTAGATGACGCACTCCAGAAATCCTCACTTAGTCAGGAATCATATGCTTCATGTATCCACAACCCTGGCCACTGCAGACTGCTGCCCCTCCCCGATGAAACTCTTGCCCCACCCTTGATCTCCACAGCTCCTCCCATCCCGGTTTTCCTCTCACCTTCCTGGCTTCCACTTCCCTGACTTTTTCGCATCTGCAAGCATGCAGCTGAACTGGAAATGCTGATGTTTCCCAGGAATTTTTCCTAGGTTCTCTTTTTTCTCACTCTAAATGTCCTCCCAGGGAAGTCTGACAAGGCTTTAACGACAACTGTGGACAGGCTCAAAAATGCATGTCAACATTTTTCAGACCACTGGGCACCTGATCTTACCTCTATTTCCATACCAACAAGCATAATGAAGTCATAACTGTATGCATCTGCAAGAATAGGCCTGAATTAGCATGGAGGAAACCTGAACAGCCAGGAAACATTTTTCCTTAATTAGTCCAGCCCCAGAGGAAAGAGGAACAGAAGCATCCAGTATTGAATGAGTCCCTTGACTCCTTCAGCAACCTGTGACCCAGCCATCACTATCACTGATGGAGGCCAACAGCCAGCCTAACCTTGGGTCTCTTCTCTGTGAAACAACCTCAGGAAGGGAGCAACACAGGTCACTTGTGGAAGGTGTGAGATTTGGCTTTATTTGGGCATGAGCTAATAGAGCTGTGGTGGCCTCCTTTGATCACAGCACCCATTGAGGACTGGGTAAGAAGGTGCCTATGAAGGAAAAATGCATTTTTGCTTCCAATAACAAGAAAATAATTTGGAGGCAGGAAAGATAAAGTGTGTGGAGGTATGTGTGTTTGTGTGTGAGAGAGAGAGACAGTGTGTGCTCTGACAATATGAATTACTGTCTCAGCTAATACAGGAAAGGCAGGAATGGTGAAAGAGGAAAAGGGAATAAGAGGAAAGACCTCTGTAATTTTATTTTCAAAAATAAGATGCACATCTATTATGAGCTGAAATGTGTCCCCCCAAATTTATATGCAGAGCCAGTACCTCAGAATGTGACTGTGTTTGGAGATAGGGTATTTAAAATGGTAGTGAAGGTAAAATGAGGCTCTACCCTAACCCAATATGACTGATGTCCTTTTAAGCAAAGAGTAAGGCACACATACACAGGGTGAAGACCATGTGAGGACACAGGGAGATGACAGCCCCCTGCATGCCCGGGAGAGAGGACTCAGAAGACACCAACCCTGTGGATGCCTTGATGTATTCTAGAACTCCCGGCCTCCGGAACTGCAAGGAAATAAATCTCCGACGTTGAAGCCACCCAGTCTGCGGTACATTGTTATGACAGCCTGAGCAGGCTAATACATCATCTTATCTCGGGGTTCCTCAGATTCAGAGATTACCTTATTCAAAAGGAAATGGTTTGATTTTTTTTCTACATAAAGGATTTATTTCCCTACTGAAGAGTGGGCTGAATGAAGTCTCTGGAAAATCTAATATTGAAAAATTCCAGTTAAGACTTCCCTCCCTAGTTCATCACTCCACAATTTCAGGGACAGTGTGGGGAATTCCTGTTTCCCACCCAACCCTTGGAACAAGACCCTCTCTCCCAGCAACAATGGAGCAGACAGAGAGGCTCCTGACCTGCTGCAACCTCCCTGGGTGCAGCTGAGACTCATTATGTCTCTTTATTATAAATAGCACTTATTGCCATGGGTACTTATAGAATCTGAAAAACGAACTCTTTTCAAAGGAATGAATTAGAATGGCAATGTGGAAAAATGTAACAACCAATTACTGCAAGAAACTCCCTTCTTTTTTCTCCTTTTGACTTATTTCATTAAATCAGGCAGCTTATATACTGAATCTTCCAATTTTTAAAAAATTAATTATAAGTGCCTAAAGGTATTGAAGCCCTGAACATTTATGAGACTACACAACCGGACAAAAACAAAAGGACGGCTGATTTCCCAACCAGGCAACTTAATTTCCCAATTATCTTCCTTCGGCAAATTGCGGATCTAAATATAACATATTGTAACCTTTGCCATTTTTCTGCAGGGCTGATGCATCAATGCCTTCATCTCTTGTTTTCTCTCTTCTGCTCAAGAAAACAAAGTTGGGGGTGCTGTCTGGATGTTTGTCAAATAAGGCATTCTACATTAAAAATGGAACCCACATAATATTACCCAGCCGGTATCAATGAGCGGAAATGGAAGGGCTTGAGCTCCCCATGCTGTGGACCCTGGGAACAAATTAATTAATGCCTTTGGATTTAGACCCTTTAGGCAGCATCTCTGAACAGACTATGGCTGACTCATAGGAAGCCCCTGCTTGTTATTTCAGGTTGATGCTAATTCACAGGCCACGGAGCCTCCACTAAGCAGAGTGTTCATGGCAGCTGATGGCAGCCCAGGGAGCATCGGGAAGTGGCCCGTTCCCTGAGAAGGACCCCGCGGTGCAGGGGGTGAGGATGGGATCCAGAAGCAACTGAGTGTCGATGACTTACAGGACCAAGCTCCTTTCTCAACTCAGACCCTGACCTCCAACAGCTTCTTGAAAAGGTCCAACTGCACGTCCTAAAAGTGTCTTTTCCTTAACAGAGCCATCAAGCCTGGCTCTTCAGTTGTTCTGTGTTCAAATTGTTCCTGACCCTCTACAATGAGAGAAACCACTCAGGGTCTACCAAACCCCTCCGCGTGGTGCCCCAGCCTCTTCTCTCCCTCGGGACCACCTCATCCATGCCTACTATCCAAAACTTCTTCCCTTTCCTCATGCTTTGGCGTTGCATTTTGCTTTTGAATCTGTTTTTGCCAACATTGTTTAAATTTATATTTTTGCTCATGCCTCATGTTGCGGGCTGAATTGTGCGCCTCCTGCCACCAAAATGCATATATTGAAGTCCTAACTTCCCAGTATCTCACACCGTGACCCTATTTGGAGGTAGGTCTTTAAAGAGGTGATTAAAGTTAAGTGAAGTAATTAGGGTGGATCCCAATCCAAAAACAAACTTGTGTCCTTAGAAGAAGAGATGAGGACACAGACACCCACACAGGAAAGACCCTGTGAGGACGCAGGGAGATGACAGCCACCTACATGCCCGGAGAGAGGCCTGAGGAGGATGCAAACCCACTGACAGCCTGATCTCAGACTTCTAGCCTCCAGAACTGTGAGAAAATAAACCTCTGTTGTTCAAGCCACCCAGGCCATGCTGCTTCGTTACAGCAACCCTGGTAAACCAATCCACATCAACACCCTTCTAAGACATAACTTCTGATTTTTCCTTTTCTTTTTTTTTTCTCCTATTTCAACTATGCTTAAGGGAAAACTCCTCCACAATGCCTTCATCCCTTGGGACCAGGGGCAATATTCAGAATATTTTAAAACATTTACCGTATGGGCACTCTTCACCCAGAATAGATTGCAGTTACAGTGATGGAGTCATCATTACCCATCTTCTAATAAAAGGTAAGTCAAGGAGTTCCTATCCATGCAACCGGGCAGCTGTGGCCACCCCCATACCTATCTTCCTCTAGTGGGAAAGAGGCATCCTCATTCACTCACTTCAGTAGACGCTGGAAACCTCCACATCACCCTTGATTCCTCCGTCTCCCTTGCGTTATTTGTGATCACTTCTTACTGACCCTATTTTGAATGTTCCCGCATTACTCCTATTTAACTTCAGTTTATTCTGTCTCACCTGCACCCTGCAATGGCTTACTAACTGGCTCTCTCTTCCATCCCATTCAACCTTAGCACTCATTCTAGAGCTATCATGCCAAAGGACAGTCCCAATAAATTATCTCCCACCTCAAAAACACAATAAACAGTTTCCGGTTGCACACTCCCAAAAAAGGTAAGAGTCTGCCAATCTATCTTTCAGGATCATCCACAAGCTGAGCCCAGCTCACCTCTTAGTCAATTTATTCATTCCATAAGTATTTATGCAACTCCACTAAGTAACATGTACTAGGATGAATGACACATGGCCCTTGGTTCCTCATATGCTAATGGAATAGGAAGGAAATTATAACAGAGCATGAGAAGTGCTGTGATGGGGATAAGTGCAGCATGCTCTGGGGACAGATAAGAGGGGCATCTACCTGAATTCAGTGATGACACCTGAGCTTGTTCCCAAGGGACATGAAAAATGGGGCACTTGAGCAGAGGGAAGGAGGACAGCTCAAGGCAGAGAGCACAGCTTAAACAAAGGCCAAGCACATTATCACTTTTGGTAACTGCAGAAGATTTAATAAGGTTGTAGGGTCAACTTCAAGGGGAAGAACGATAAGACCTAGACCTGGAGAGGCAAGCTGGAGCCCCTCCCGAAGGGCCCTTTCCTGCTGAAATACTGTGAGCAGTTGTAATGCAATGGTAATATTTGTTTATCTAAACATAGAAAAGGGACAGTAAAAATATGATATTATAATTTTATGGGACCTCCATCATTTATGCAGTCCCTCATTGACCAAAACGTCCTTATGCAGCACATGACTTTATTTGTGCTTCCTGGCATGCTTTACTGAGAAAGTGGTTCCAGCTCCTGTGGTTTAGTCAAAGCTTTTACATGGGATCACCAGTTACCTTAACAGATGTCTCCTTTTCAGCCCGATGGCTCTACTGAGTAGACCACCAGGTAGGACAGGCCCCAAAGCCCTCGACTGTCTCCATGAAAGTGCCTGAGGCAGAAGGAGATGGTCAGCGGGGTGTTCCCATTTCCCTCCTTAGGGGAAAAGAAGAGTGACCCTTGTTTTTCGATATCAAGCAGTGGGGACAAAAGATTTTCTTGTAAATGCTTGGGAATGATGGTTTCTAATCCCCTGGAAGCTTTGAAACTTGCAAAAGCCCTACGTCCACACCCAGAAAACTTCCTAGGTCTAACAGACAGAAGAAAACAATGCAGCTCTTATGGGAAATTTAGCAAAGCCTTAGCCAGATGCTTAACACTCTTGGGACTGGAGAGAGTTGGACCTTCCAGCACACGGGGGTGCCCTGTTGTTTTGACTGGAAGTTCTTCTCTTAAGATCTGGGGTGCTGTCTGATTGGGCCCTTTCCCTGGGCCAAAGAGGCAGTCATGGGGACCATGCAATCCCTGTGGCTCCTCTGCACGGTGGGAAGCAGAGCTTCTTCTTTGTATTTAGTGGCAGGGTGGCACTGAAGGATTTGGGGTAAGAAAGTGCTTTGTAATATCCTAGAAGAATCAGTGAGATCTAAATGGAGGCTGCCTGCTTGCATTCAAGACAGCACTCCGAAACAGTTCCTCCTGGTGTTTTGTGTGTTGTTCCAGACTTTCACAAGGGATAAGCCTCCTTGGGCAAGATGACATCTCCCTTCTCACCAAGCCAACCCCAACCCCACCCTGCTGGGGTGGCAGTGAGTTCACCCATTGAATCATAGGCACTTGCCTTAGAGGGTGAAGCGCTACCACCATCTCAGCCTGCAAAAGCCATTTCCCAGCCATCGCCTAGGATCCCTGTGGCACTAATGACTGATGACTAACATCATATATTATTGCTGTGTTCCACCTGCCACCTTCTGGACTATTTTGTATATTTAGTCCTCATTTCCTCTATTAATCCTCAGGACTTAGCATTTTCATAAATTTCTTACCATCCAAGATGAGAGGAACATCAGAACTCCTGCTCGCTAACGACCAGCAGGCTGTGTAGAGGTGAGCAACGGCCAGCCTCCACTAATTCCACATCAGAGATCACTGAGGCATCCCCAGAGCTTGAGAAGTCAGCTTGCAAAGGAAAACAAAGGTCAGCAGCCTTTTGTGGTTGTTGTTTCACTAATTCTCTTCCACCCACTGAGAAACAGGACTTTGAATGTTCCAAGACATCATGAGGGTCCTAGCTTCCTGCCACCTAGTTGGTCCTGAAGAGACAATATGAAATCCGCTTTGGAAATGGCATGTGTTTTGGATACAGCCAGATCTTATATTTTTAACAGGTAGGAGGGTCAACCAATGTGGAAGCATAGTCTTGACCTCAATATCAAAGAACTTAAAGAAAGAAACAATACTGTAATCCCAGCACTTTGGGAGGCCGAGGCAGGCGGATCACGAGGTCAGGAGATCGAGACCATCTTGGCTAACACGGTGAAACTCTGTCTCTACTAAAAATACTAAAAATTAGTCAGGCATGGTGGCGGGCGTCTGTATTCCCAGCTACTCGGGAGGCTGAGGCAGGAGAATGGCATGAACCCGGTAGGCGGAGCTTGCAGTGAGCTGAGATCACGCCACTGCACTCCAGCCTGGGGAACAGAGCGAGACTCCGTCTCAAAAAAAACAAAAAACAAGAAAGAAACAATACAACATTAACATCCTTTCTTCTTCAGAAAAGAGCATAGAGAAAATTACAGAAGCTCTGTTCTTGTTGTTTGATTTGAATCTTCTCTGGGAAACACACTGCTGTTATTGTTCAATTACATGATTGCTTCCTTGTTAGATTCATTATTATGACTAAATATTAATACATTCCTTTTGGAGGGTGATGCAGTGGTTCTCCAGTGAAACTCGCAAGCAGAGTTAATGTCATTCCAAAATATCTTTATGAATTTAGATGTGCATACAGCCCCAACGTTCCTGATTTTTCTCTCTGGTTCTCAGAGAGATTCTTTGCCATATACACATTGTCTGAAGGTTTTGTCAGCATAACCACATTTTGAATGCAGGTAACAGAAATTATTTTGGTATATTCTGCACCTGAAGCTCTTGTATTTCTGGGTAATGATATTTCTAGTACTTTATTCCTGTGCAAGAGCTGCAGTTCCTTGCTTCCCTCAGCAGATAGACAGCTGCAGTTTTATTAGGCATGGACCTTAAAAAACATATTTCTATATATTTTTGAAGGGATGCTCACTCCAGACATAATATTTCAGAGACAACAAACATCACTACATGTGAAATGCCAGCAGAAGAATTCAGGACTTCAAGTCAAGAGACTACAGAGCAGAGAAGCAGTTGAAAAAGCAATTCCAAAACTTAACACTGTGAAAAAAAAAAATCTGCCAGATGACAATTCTGTATAAAAGTAGCCACACACACATAGAGTTGTACATCATGTTGAGACATAGGACAAATTTAAATTAAGCAAAAAGAAAAGCCAAGGCACATTTGGGAAATATACAGACCTCAGGGTTTGGGGGGATTTCGGGGGGTGTTGTTGCTAGTGGTGGTTTGTTTTTTGCTTTTTTGTGTTTTTTAATAAATTGGAAAGTCAACTGTGGAAAAAGACACAGATGCAAAGAGAAGTGTGATCAAGATAAGAATTTTAAGAAGGTAAAAGAAACTTCAGACACAATAGGACTTTAAAAGAATCAAACAGTTGAATATTTCTTTGGCCTGATCAAACTAGAGGCCGCAGATTTTAGAGAAGACTTGCTGAATAGAATCAACTTTGGGTTTGGGTTTAGTTTGGGAGGTGTTTGTGGGGAAGGGTGGAGTTTGTGATTGATATATATATGATATATATATCATATATATAAATGGTATATATATCATATATATATAAATGGATATATATATCATATATAAATGGATATATATCATATATATAAATGGTATATATATAATATATAAATGGTGTATACATATCTCATATATATATAAATGGTGTATACATATCTCATATATATATAAATGGTATATATATATCTCATATATAAATGATATATATATATCTCATATATAAATGGTATATATATAAATGGTATATATCTCATATATATAAATGGTATATATATATCTCATATATATAAATGGTATATATATCTCATATATATATAAATGGTATATATATCTCATATATATAAATGGTATATATATCTCTCATATATAAATGGTATATATATATCTCATATATATAAATGGTATATATATATATATATGTCATATATATATAAATGGTATATATATATATCATATATATATAAATGGTATATATATACACCAAGTCCAAGATCGATGTCACACCAAATTTTACACCCTATGTTGATGTCTGCTCCAGCAGACGAACATTATTAAATTCAATATATGCCACTCACTAGAGATATGGCTCCTCAATTCTGTTGAGAAATGAGTATCTCCCTCTTTCTTACTTCCCCTGCTCCTTCGCAAGCTTCTCTTTTTGGCCTTTCTGTTATAGTAATTTATGCCCAGATTCTGTCCAGGTGAGCCAGTTTCCTGAGATCACTGAAGAATCGCCTTGATGAGAAAAGCTGCAGATCATTTTATCGTATCATGTTTAGCTCAGCTTAACTTAAAGCAGGGCTAAAATGCCATAACTCCACACTGGGGCTTCCCGAACTCCTCTCACTCTATGATGAAGCACCACACACCCACCTCTCGGCCTCCCTTCCTGAGAGACAACCCCCAAAATGGCCAATATTTCTCATTTCAAATTCTATGCACAGCCCATATTTGTCATTTCAAATTCTATGTAAGCTTCCTGCAGCCCCTTGATATATAGTAGCTATGAAGATATACGTCTTTAATGCTTTAGAAACATACATTTATATTTATTATCCTTAATAAAAAGCAACAAGTTATCAACTGTTTTGTTCTCTGAGTTGATCTACCAGCCTATAACTGGTTTCTAAATGCTCCTAGATGTCCTGTACCTCCGCAAGTCACACTGTGGGAAGCAAATGAAATGCATGACCACAGTTTTACATAACATTCATATGTAAAAAGATGAATGCATCTCTTCCAAACACATAATTTAATAGGCTGTTCTAATAAAACACTGGGGAATTTAAATGTATTACACAATAACAATTCCAAATCCAATAAAAAAGAAAAGTGGATACATTGTCTTGAACTAATAAGGAAAATAGAATTTAAAATTTTTAATGCTATTTTTGTACAAAACAATAGTTGGGTTTTTTTTTCTTCATCTCCCACAACAGAGTGCAAAGAATGACAAATTGTCTGATTCTGCATAAAGCTTGGAAATAGAGTATTAATCTTAGGTTGATGTAAAATGTAACATATAATGTGAAAGAGCATATTGTAGAGAAGAAATGGGACTGTATATCGTGACAAAATCTGAATACTTACAGTCATGTTATTTTTCAAAAGGAGGTGATAGGTTCCTTTCCCAGCCATATGGGAAATTAGTTTTGGAGGGAGTGTTAATACATACCCCAAAATTGCCTCCAGACATAGCCAATCACCCAATCTTTGCTCTTTGTTGGGTTTTATTTTAGCTTTGTTTTTGTTGTGTTATATTTCCTGAGCATCATTCTATACATTCTCTGTTTTCATTATTGTTACTATCTATCTTCTGTTATCAGGCAAGCAAATTATGCTATATACTGGATCAAATGGAAGAAAACATCAATTTTGACCCCGTCTCACTGTATAAGTAAAAATCAATTCCTGTTAGATTGTAGATCCAAATGTGAGAGGTAAAATTTAAAGTTCTAGAAGACATCATAAGAGAATATGTATATGATGTTGAAGTAGACCAGATTTCTTAAATAGGTGCTAAAACCACTAACTGTAAAGAAAAATATTCATACTTAACTATATTAAAATTAGATACTTCTGTATATGAAAAATTCAACATGAAGTAAATTTAAAAATATAAGTAGGAGAAGATATTTTCAATACATATAACTGCCAAAGGATTTAAATCCTGCCTATTTAAAGTATCAATAAAAAGGGAAAAAAATAAGTTGTAGAAAGTTGGACCAAAGGCTTAAATAGACACCTCACAAAAGAGGGTATCCAAATCACCAAGAAACCTGAAAAGGTGTTCAACCTCATTAGTCATCAGGAAAATGAAAATTAAAACTTCAGTGAGATGCCACTCCACACTTGTTAGAATGAGTAAAATTCCAAAAGACCGAGAATACCAAAAGTTGACAAGAACATTGAGTAACTGCAACTATCGTGTAATGTTGGTGGGAGTCTATAATACAGCTTCTTTCAAAAACTCTTAGATAGCAAATGACCATGTATAGCTCTAGGATCTAGCAATTCCTCCTCTGGGAATGTATATACATGTGCAATAAATGACATGTCCATCAACATTAGAATAAATTATAAAATTGTTGTATATTCATACAGTAGAATACAACAATGAAAACATGCTACATTCAACTGTGTTGATGATCTCAAAAACAAAAGTAGATGTACACACAAAATTACATACTAATCAATTGCAAAGACAAGCAAAGTTACCCGTGGCATTAGAAGTCAGGTTACCTTTGGGAGAACGGTAACTAAAAGAGAGTATGAGGTGGGGCATGGTGGCTCACACCTATAATCCCAACACTTTGGGAGGCCAAGATGGGAGAATCACTTGAGCCCAGGAGTTCAAGACCAGCCTAGGCAACATAGTGGGACCTCGTCTCTACAAATAATAATAATAATAATAATAATAACTAAAAATAAAATAAAAAGGAGTATGAGGAAGGGGGTCTGGTTGCCAACATTCTGCTTTTTTACATGAGTTGTAGGCACATGGATGTATTCACTTTATGAAAATTCATCAAACTGGGCTCTTAAAGCCTGGATACTTTTCTATATATACACTATACTTCAAAAAAATCTTTTATTAAAAAAATTAAGAATGGCATGGCAACTATGAGCCCTCCTGGGTTGTCAATCCTCCCACCTCAGCTTCCTGAGTAGCCAGGACTACAGGAATACATCATCATGCTCATATTTAAAACGAAGAAGGTTGATTCCCACAATTGCAGACTAATTATATTGATATTTGATTTCAGGGGAAAAATAGTAAATCGGGTGAAAATCGCTTCTATATCATAAAATGCCTTTAAGCCCAGCTATTTTCTAATACAGCTTGTATATGTTTCTATAGACCATCCCATTTTGAATGGCATTATGATGCAAAAACCAGCCAATTTTAAGAAAACAAATTAAATTAGTTAAGCTATTTTTCTGATACAGCTTATGTTTCTATATACTGCCCCATTTTAATAGAATTATGAAGCCAAAAGCTAGTAAGATTAAGAAAAAGAATTAAATGAGAATTAACTTATACAACAGGGTGCAATTAATTCTAAACTGCTGTAATATATTAACTCACCAGAAGTGAACATCAGGAGTAAATCAGACCTGCTGAGAGAGTGAGGGTGTCAGAATGGCACAGTCAGTTTTATGCCTGCCAAGTCTGTATCATTGCTAACCAAAGTCAAATACAGTTACTTTGAATATCTGCTCCATTTTCTCCATGTTTCTTTCTTCTATTAGTTGCAGGATAACTAGTAAAAAAAAAAAAAAAAAAAAAAAAATGCAGTTGTCAAATGAGACATCTCATACCTTTTGTGATGTAAAATTTTCAGGAAGGAAAATGTAAGACACATTACTCAGGATAGTTGATTGTCTTAGATTGGAGATAAGGGAACACCATAGCCTCACCCGTCTCTTTCTTACTAAGAAAAAGACAGATAACCAATAGAATATTGGATGGGAGACTTAAATAAGACTTCACAAAAGACATAGTAGAGGTGTAATGGCTGCAGTATTCAAGCGTTCCCAGAAGAGGGACATTAAGAAGCAGTGGGACTTGACAAGGGGTTAGACCAGGGCCAATGAAGGAAACTGCACATAGGAATGTAGCCTATGGACTTTAGATGATGTATAATGTTGACACCTTTCTTTTTAGCATTTCTAATTTCCTTATACCTTCCTCAAGTCTCCACTGGGAAAGTAAGGTAATGAGAAAGCTGCTAGAGAGTGGAGACAACCAGAAGAAGCAGTTTGACAGGAATTGAGCCAGTTAGACATTTGCAGCTGCAGAATGCAAGCCAGTCCTGAGGCCCTTCAGCAGACTGTAGGGGGAGAGAGGGTGGCTTCCCCAATGTGATGGTTAATACTGAGTGTCAACTTGATTGGACTGAAGGATGCAAAGTATTAATCCTGGGTCTGTCTATGAGGGTGTTGCCAAAGGAGCTTAACATTTGAATCAGTGGGCTGGGGAAAGCAGACCCACCCTTAATCTGGGTGGGCAACATCTAATCAGCTGTCAGCGAATATAAAGCAGGCAGAAAAACATGAAAAGGCAAGACTGGCCTAGCCTCCCAGCCTACATCTTTGTCCCATGCTAGATGCTTCCTGTTCTGGAACATCGGACTTTTAAGTTCTTCAGTTTTGGAACTCGGACTGGGTCTCCTTGCTCCTCAGCCTGCAGGTGGCCTATTGTGGGAACCTGTGATTGTGTAAGTTAATACTTAATAAACTCCCCTTTGTATATCTATATCTATCTTATTAGTTCTGTCCCTCTAGAGAACCCTGACTAATCTACCCACCATATGAGACAGAGCTCACATTTGACTCTCCACATAGTAAACAGAAGCATTTAGAGAGGTGGGGTCTACATGTGGAAAGAATCTTGCACACAGTAGTTACCCCAAAATAGGTAGTTATTATTATAATCATCTAGTTCATGCTACAAAAACATCAGGAAAGCCTCTACAATATTATTGAAAATCGAACAGCCTATGGCCAGTTAGGAACTGGTCCGTACAGCAGGTGAGTGGTGGGTGAGCAAATGTTACCATCCAAGCTCCACCTCCTGTGAGATCAGTGGCAGCATTTGATTCTCATAGGAGTGCCAGCCCTATCATGAACTGCGCATGTGAAGGATCTATTCTGTGCCCTCCTTATGAGAATCTAATCCATCTCCCCACCACCCCTGTCTGTGGAAAAATTGTCTTCCAGGAAATCAGTCTCTGGTGCCAAAAAGGTTGAGGACCACTGGTCTACAGTAACATACACAATCTCTATCAGAAAAATAACTTGAATTTGAGGTACCCTGCAATATGGAAATTATGATATCACAACTAAGGAAAGTCACTGTTTGAAAAATAAGATATTAGTGCAAAAGTAATGATTTCTAAGAAAAGTTTGGAAGATTTTGTCAATAAAGAAAATGCAGATAGAAACTGGGAAGAATTTCAGAAGATTCACCTACAAATAGTCAGGGTTGTGGAAAATTGCATGTCATTATAGATTCTGCTCATTGAATTTTCTTTCATGTTCATTTTCCCTACATAGGAGGGATGCAAGTGTCAAATGAAATATGTGATATCTTTTGCAATGTGAAACTGTCAGGAAAAAAAATTTAAGATGTGTTACCAAAGGGCATAAAATTCAAGCTTTTAGGCCGGGCACAGTGGCTCACGCCTATAATCCCAGCAGTTTGGGAGGCTGAGGTGGGCAGATCACCTTAGTTCGGGAGTTTGAGACCAGCCTGACCAACATGGAGAAATCCTGTTTCTACTAAAAATACAAAATTAGCCAGGTATGTTGGCGCATGCCTGTAATCCTAGCTACTTGGGAGGCTGAGGCAGGAGAATTGCTTGAACCCACGAGGTGGCGTTTGCGGTGAGCCAAGATCATGCCACTGCACTCCAGCCTGGGCAACAAGAGCAAAACTTCATCTCAACAAAAAAAAAACAAAAAAAAAAAAAACCAAGCTTTTAATAGATTTACTAAAGTATAAAATTTCATCTGTGCAGACATAAATACCATATTTTGCATATGGCATATTATTCAGTGTTATGGAGTAAAATAGGTACATTAAGCAACAGAAGGCCATGGGCACAAGATGAGTAAAAATACATACAATATACTACATAGTGCTTAAGAGGTAAGCTCTATATAGGATGCACAAAATGAGTGGAGAGTGCTTGAGGAACAATTCTGGTGAGCTACACTCAGCTGTACTTAGATGAGCTCTACAGGACAGCTGAGACAATGAGAGGTGTCTTAGTCCATTTTGTGCTGCTATAATGGAATACCTGAGACTGGGTAATTTATAATAAACAAAAATTTATTGGCTCATGTTTCTGGAGGCTGGGAAGTCCAAGATCAAGGGGTGAGCATCTGGTGAGGGTCTTCCTGCTGCATCATTCATGGCAGAAGGCAACAGAATGAGAGAATGAAAAGGGGGCCAAACTCATCCTTGTATAAGGAACCCACTCCTATGATAACAGCATTAATTCACTCAGGAGGTCACAGCCTTCAGGGTTAATCACTTCTCATTAGGACACACCTCCCAACATTGTTGCATTAGGAATAAAGTTTCCAACACATGCTTTTTGGGGGATATATTCAAATTATAGCAAGAGATTACTGTCCAACTTGATGGAAGGGCAAAGCTAGTAAATGTGGCTAGATGAGGCTGACACACTTATAACTGGGAAGCATATAATGAATGCTTAAAACGTTGAGGATGGGGCAAATGAGTAAGTCTAGGGGAGCTGACTGGAGGTACCATCCAAGTGAGAAATATCAACATTAAGCGTGAGCTCAGTTTCCATCTTTTTTTACCCGATCCATGAGAGCAATGTGGATTTGTAAAACCAACCCAAGCAAAAAATGTATTGATGTGACTTGAGTTTGTGTCTTTTCAAGAGTTTCCTGTGCCATCTGGCACCACCAAAAGCCTCGTGTTGGAGTGGGGTGCACCACTCCATTAGTGGCACAGGTGATGAGCATGCAGTGAGGTCTGCTCTGCTGCAAAGGTCAGTGACATGCTGAGCTACACAAGATGCCCATGTCTGTAGTGCAGGCTCCAACATGTATCCTTAGGCACATGCGGGGCCCTTCTTTCCATACATGGAGGTGGTACAGTGCCTGCCTACTGAGATGCTTCATGTCAAATCAACATCTCCTTCATTAAACTTCTTGGAAGCCCTGTTTTCCACACTCATGATTTATGTCACTGCTTCCTTAATGAAAGGTCTACTATAGCTCATGGAATCCTGCATCGTGCTTTCTGTGAACAAATTACTTGGGGTAGGCCAGTCTCTTGAAATTTTTACTTAGCAGTGATTTGTCCAAGTGCCTTTTAAAATACTTCTAAAAGATTCATTGGTAACATGTTTTTTAATAATCAGCCTATATAAATCCCTCACTGACTTGTTATTACAATAGTACTTATTATTGCAATTTCTAATTTGCCTCCTGAGATAATTTTAGTTTCCATATTTCTATTATAAATATTGTGAATAGTACCTATTATCATCATCATTCTGTACTGTGGCCTTTATTACACACAAGAAATTACACACAGACCTTCAAGCAAATCCAGAGTTTAGAAAGGCAAACTAAAAACATTCCTTTTATTTGCTAGAACAGTCTAGATCTGAGAGAGAGAGAGAGAGGGAAACTTCTGACAAGTTCTCACCCATAGGAATTTGTTCTGGGATTGCACCAAGTTGGCCTACATCCCTGAAGATACAGAAGTCAAAGGAAGAATTTGACTCTAAGTACTAAGAGTGCATTTTTGTTTGAATGGTTCCAAGTTTGGGATAGAAACAATGACAGCACAAGCAGTAATCTGTAATAGTAAAGATTAAAATAAAGAGGTATTGGACTCTTACTTAGATTTTGCTCTGGTTCATTCAACAAGTATTCCCTAGAAATCTTTGTGTCTGGGGTAAGCATAAGGACTTCAAAATGAATGAGGTGTAATCTCCATCCTTCAGAGATTAACAAGACAGTGGGGGTAAGAAGGGAGAGCAGACACATAGACTTTACTGTTGCACAGGAAGCCTAAGTGCACGTGTATCATACACAGTGTAAATTAATTGCAATGCAATGAGAATAGAGTGAAGAGAAGCAAGCTTCTATGGCACCACCTTTATACTGTTTTTATCAAATAGCCATAATCCATACTTAATTACAGCCGGATAAACTACAGAATTTACAACCAGCCCATATGATCCTGTTCAAGATGGCAGACTGAGTGCAAACATGTATGACCACTTCTTCCCAAGACTTCCTTAAGGTGTTAATAAAGCAATGTGGTTATTAACTATATACTCACAAATTAATTAAATATGGGAGAGGGAGGCTGCCTAAAACAAGAGATAAAACAAATTTCTAGAAGACAGAAATAGGTGCAGAGAAGGCTGCAGCTAAGGAGGAAGCCAGACTCTGGTGGGATCTCAGTACAGCTCTGTCATCAGGATGGCAGAGGTGGCAGAGGGCAGGGTGGGAGGGATGTTAATTAATAGTCTACATCTGAAATGCCTGAAGCCCGCAACTCCATGTACAGATTGTCCTGCAAGACAGATGTTTAATCATGAAGAAAGCTGCAACTTTTTTTCTCTAAAGAAATAGACAAACTACCAAGTGATAATTATAACCCTTAATGTAGGGTTTTGACATCCTGGAGCAAAGCCCCCCACATTCCAGCATTAGGGTAATCCTCAGTTTAATCACCAGGTCCTCTAAAAAAAAAAATCCTGCTGCTTTACAAATGCCACCAGGGAAGCCTCAGTCTGAATATGACTGGGAAAGCAAGAACCACCAGAAATCTGAAGAAAGCCTGCAGCATGACAATGACCATGACGAATTATGCAGAAAAGCTAATCCCAGAGGGAAAGGAGGGGGACTTGCAAAAATGGCTAATTAATATGAGAATTAATATTAATATGAGCGTTGATATAATGATGTATTACATCCAGAGAAGCAAGAGAAGTAAAAGGAGCAAAAGAGGAAGGAGAAGGATAGGAAGAGAGAAGGACGTCTCGTGAAAAAAGAACAATTACTTCAAAATCATGCCACTTTTTAATTCTTATATTAATCGCTTTCTATCTGGACCATGCCTACTTCTGTTTTGTTTGCTTTAGTGGAGAACAAGAATGCTGAATCAATTTGAACGTTTTTCCTTAAGTTGCATGGGGCTCGTGACACTGGAACCACAGAGAAGGAAGTATAATCAAAAGAAGCTACTCCATTCTCCATTTTCAGTAAGCAATGTTTGTATAATCATTTTAACAGGAATTCTGCATGTTCATTCAACACGTGTTTATTGACTCCCTACTATGTGCCAGGCTTGTGTAGGCACATGGACTACATCAGTGAACAAGACAGTAAACAAACAAGCCTCCCCATTGTAAGCTACATTCTAGAGGAAATCCATAATATATTATAGATAATCATTAGGTAAGTTTTGTAGGGTTAAGTGCGCTGGGGAAATGCTAGAACAGGCAGAGGGATAGGGTGTGAGTTGTGAAGCAAGTTGCATAGGGGCCAATGAAATTAGGTGAAAAGATGTTATCCAAGGGAGATTTGAATGTGGCGAGGAGGTAGCCATCTGAAGGCCATGAACAGCCTTTTGACGAGAAGGCTATTTGCCAACCAAAAAGGTAAAGGTGGCTGTCCCAGAGCAAAAGAGTGAGAGAGAGAGTGGGAAGGTGGGATGGAAGTTGAGTGGGAGGAGGTAGGTGGGTTGTGTGGGACTTTATAGGTCCTTAGAAGGACTTCAGCTTCCACTTTGAGTGAATGGTGGACATTGCAGGGAATGGGGCCAGATGAGCGATGTGATCTCAAACAACATCATTCAGGCTGCTGCAGTGAGAACAAGTTAGAAGGGGCAAAGGCGGAAGCAGAGAGACCTATCAGGAGGCTATTGCAGTTTATTGTTTTTTAATCATTTGATAGCCAAAGCACAGGAGGCTTAATCCATGTTAAAACTCAGATCGTCAACGTTAGCAGCCTGGCAATATTAAAGTCAATGCAGAACTCATAAAGGTGGGAGCTCACGATGGGGAGGAGAAGACTGGGATCAGTCTGTGCCTTTAAAAGACACTGCCTTTCATTATAAGCTCTTTTATGCTCTCCACTTTTTAAACTACATATATGGATAACCAATTTTTAAATTGTAGGTTAAATATGCCAATTTCAGTCTAGAAAGTAGTCAAGATAAATACAGTATCGCTTATATTCAAATTGCTGCTTGTTGGCATTTGGGGCAGAACTTATTCCCTCATACTGGCTTTCTAAATTATTTTAAAACATCTATGTTATCATCTCTTTCAGTCATATGAACATTTTCTGCCATCTTCATTTACACATCTGCAGCACCCAGTATTAAACAGCCAAAATTATGGTGCAAGACAAGGAGGTTGCTGGACTTAAATATTCAGCATGGGGAATGGTAGGAAAAAATGCAGAAGATTCCAGGCTCTGCCACTTAAGAAGGATGTGTCTCGGAATAGATATTCCTGAGCAACTTCCTGAATATCCCTGAGAACTGGTAAAACTGGCCCAAGATAAGTGTTGAAACTGAGGGTCGTTTTGAGTGCTTAATAAGCTAATAGATGTGGAATACTTTGTAAAATTAAAGGTGCTAAAATTTTTAGGCTTATATAGTTGATATTTCATAATCATTAATCATTAATGCTTTGCACGGTGCTCCATAAATTCTATACATTTTACTTTGTCTTCATTCCTTATAATTGTTAGCGGTGTGCTATTAAGTATAACAGCAACTACCCTGAACTTTGATTCAGATGTGACAGGTGGCTGGTCCCATAAATCACTTTGTGATACTTCAAATCTAATTTCTTCATCTTCCAGTTTTAGGTCAACATAATTTCTATAATGAATTCTTCTGAGTCAAAGAAAACATTTTAAAGAACTTTACTCTTATCCTATGCAAAACTGGTCTTATGAAAATGACTTTACTTTGATCATATAACTTGCATGCTGGATTTTATCACATGGTGTTTTGACATCTATTTGAAATTTAAAGGAAATTATTTCACTCACCATGAAGTATCTCTGCATACATCTCATATAAGAGGCTCCCTAGAATTAAAATACATGTGTGAAAAGAATAATTGCTCCTTCCAACACCCTAATTGTTCATAATATCAGGTCACTGAATGTTTAGAAACCAAGTTGTAACTAGCTTGCAATCATATCATCTTTGGCATGGCTGACAACAAGCCTTTTAACTACACGTCCTACAATAAACAAGAAAGCAGGCCTCATATGTTCCCTAAAACTTTATTACGGTGCTAACCTTTCTACAAGAAATGGCATTTTGGAAATGCCACATGCATTTTAACTCTTGTTCCAGTTACTGATGGCAAGAATGACCTATCAACAAAGACAGAGGATAAAGAGTCTCATCATTACCCATATACTAACAACAGTCATTCGGGGTTATTACAACCCCATTTTTCACTCAGGGCAATGCCATTTTATTTGTCAAATTGCTTTAATAAATATTACTTTCTATCACTACCAGAGAACAGAAGTGTCCTGGGATACTTTAAGTTACAAAGTCCTATAGGGACTTTACTTCCAGTATCTTCCTGTATCTCTTTTCTTAAATTTTCTCTTTTCAGGTTGATCAGCAGGAATTGCTCTAAATGTCCAAGTCCAGATTCACAAAGGAAGAATGGAGAATTTTTTTTCTCCTCAAATATCTCTTCAAAACATTTGCAGAGATTCTAAAAAGAGGGGAAATCTTCTTGTCTATTCTAGTCTGAAGAACAATCTACAGGTAAAAAAATCTCCCCTGGACCATGCAGATTGGGAAGGATGTAATTAGCATAATGAATAGGTTCAAAAGACTCTTGCTGAATCATTCAAATTAGCCAAATCAACTCTGACCACTAAACCAGATGATAGTTGAAGCTTCTAATGTGGTCAGCATTTGGAACTGCCAAGGGTTCAAGTCCAAGAGCCCCATTTTAATAAATACTCTAGCAAATACATTTATGTTTTATTCATCAAACACCAATTGAGATGTAAATATTTATGTCAACCACGACCATAGGTTGTAGGAACAACGATGAACAAGACACCGACACCAAGTAATTGCCAAGTCAGTTCCCATTCCTGATGGGGCACAGAGATCAATAAAGGAGAGCAAGGGGCTTTGGGGTGTTTCATGTTAGGGGATGTTGTCATTTTACACATGGTGGTCAGAGATGTCTTCTGGGATAAAATGACATTTCAGTAAAGACCCAAAGGACGGGAGAAAGTTAGCCATGTGAATGATGAATTCAGAGCAGACATCTACCTTGCCTCCTTACTTGTCTTTAAAAGCAAAGTTTCTGTCACTTATGTTTATCTTATTTTGATATGGAAAATAGAGGATAAGCAAAAATATTATTTTTCTTCTACTGCATCAATTTTTAACTTTCAGAAGCTAATTGCCTATTTGCATCTTCTCACTTCTGCCAAGTCACTTCACGATTCATCACACACAGAAAAAGTCACCAACAATCTTGGTCCTTGAGACGACATGCCGTCAGGATCAACTCAGCGACTGCGTACTGCACTCCAGCTGGAAGGCTGGATAAGAAATGCATGAGTGGGACATGAGAACTTACTGGATTTTCTTCATGCTTTCCTTGAAGCCTCTTGCCATAGATGCTCCATTTAGCTGAATCTCAGCCTACACATGCATCATAGAACCAGGGATGACAGCCAGCAATACTTTTAGGGGCCAGAACAAGTTTTCATTTCTTTTAAAATGAGAAGAAAAAAATGAAGTTTGAGTTTTTTCAAGAGTCTTCATTTGGACACTTAGTTCTGATTCTGTGGTCCTCTTCCTTTCTAATGGAGGTATTTAGGATACAGCCATCTTTCCAGTTTTAACTGCATCCCATGAGTTGTGTTCCGTAACACTGGTGCTATCATTCACTTCCAGATATTTTTGGATTTTCATAATGGACTCTTCTTTGACCCATGGGATACTTAAAATTGTGTTTTAAAATTTTAAATTATGGATAAGGATTAATATTTTATATGGCTTTCTAATTTGATTGCACTGTGGTATGATTGCACCGAGGGAACATGGCATGTTTGATATCAGTTTTTGGCATTTATTAAAATTTGCTCTAGTGTCACTATTTAGGAAATTGTTTCATGTGTCATGAAAGTTCAAGAATTCTTTACATGTTGGGAGCAAGGATGTGTATCCATTATATTAAGCTTTCAAATTTTAATCTCCCATATCCTGCCTAGTATTTTTGTTTATACTATGAATTACTGAGCACGGCATGCCAAATCCCTCATCATGACTGTAGATCTGTCCACTTCCAAATGTCATTTAAAATGTTTGCATCATACAGAGCCAAGTGGTAACATGGGTGGAAACAGGTTTAGAATTCTAGTATCTTACTAGAGATTTTTCTTTTTTTCTCTTCGTATAGTGATTGTCTCTCTCCTAAATTTTGTTTTCTCATTAAAGTCTGTGTGGCCTGGCATTAACACTGCCAGCCACTCCGGTTAATATTTTCCTGGAATAATGTTTTCAGTTTCAACTCAACCTTTTCCTATTCCATATTTTAGGATTAATTCTCACAAATAGCATTCACAGTTAACTCAAAACAAAACTATTATTCACTGATTATTCTGTGCCAGGTACAGTTCTAGGCAAAGGGAGAACAGAAGTGAACTAAACAAAGTCCCTGCAATCAAGGAGTTTACAGTCTACAAGGGGCAGTCAGAGGGCAGGAGAGGAAGAAAGACAACAACTAACAAGGTAATACAAGAGGTATGAAGAAAAACAAATTAGAGTAAGAGGGTATGGGGGAGTGGGAGGGCGTACTGTTTTGTGGAGGGTAGTCAGTGAAGAACTTGCAGATACAGTGGTATTTGAGAAGCCAGGGAAACCAGGGAGCAAGCCAGGGAAATACCTAGGAAAACAGACCCCAGGCTTAAGGAAGAGCTGGGGAACAAGCCCACAGTCAAAAGTAGGCTTGGGTACACTTGGAGATAGCAGGTGGCCAATCCCACTTCTGTAAGTAGAGTGAAGGGTCACAGGGAGAGCACAGGAGAGGAGGTCTGGGGTGGGCCAGCGAGATGGAGGGACAGCTCCCAAAAGGTCTTGAGGTGACGATAAGGATGCTGGACTTTCCTCTGAGTGAAATGGAGTGGACGAGTGACCAGATCTGATTTGCATTGAAGAACACATTATTACAATATTCCAGGTGAGAAACTTCCATGGATGGCTGAGCGGGGTGGGGGGCAGCACTGAAAGTAGGGAGCCACGGTCAGATTCTAAATGTATCTTGAAGGCAGAACCAAGATGATTTGCTGTTGGGTTGGATGTAAGATGTGATGGAAAGGGCACATCAAGGATGACTCCAGGGTGATTAGAAGAATTGAATAGCCATTTTATGAGATGCAAGACTGCAGGAGGAGCAAGTTTAAGAAGAAGACCCGGAGTACAGTTTGGAAATCTTGTTGGGTTGGGAGGAGGCTTAAAAACCAACACCTCAATTCCAATTTCTGGTTTGAAACCAAAGGTTTCTAGGGCCAAGCAAAGAGATCTACCATCACCTTTCTTACTAAAGATGTTTGGAGAATATGGCTTCGTTGTGAAAGCCAGTTGGGCTGGTTCTTTCTCTCTCTCTCTCTCTCTCTCTCTCTCTGTGTGTGTGTGTGTGTGTGTGTGTGTGTGTGTGTCTGTCTGTCTGTCTGTCTGTCTCTCTGCCTCTACCTTCTAGTCCAGACCTTAGAAGAGCACACCCAAGGAAAAGTCTAAATCTAAGGGAAGACACACTTCCCCAGTATTGCTGCCTTGTACAGATCCAAGGCAGAGAGGGAAGAAAAGAAGTGGATTTCCAGGCTTTGCAACATTTTATTAGATTCGTTTGACTCACTCTAGGAAATCCGGGGCCATTGGTTATGGGAAGAAGCCATAAGCACTAGGGCCAGAGGCCAGGAACATGACTGCAGTAGGCCTCTTGACATGGACAGATGAAGAACTGGGAAATAAGTTTTGTTTCCTAAGTTTGAAATGACCATCACACACCTAAGTGCAACATATTTACAGATTTTGTTTAGCCAATCTGATTCTGTCTTTTAAAAATAGTGAGTTTGTTTACAGAGATCATAAGTATTGAAATTTTAATTTCTATATTTTGTTATTTCTGTTTATTATGCTTTTATCTGCCCCTTTCATTTTCTCTTCTCTATATTACATTGGCCAAGTTTTATTTCTTTTTTTAACCTCCAATGATCTGGAAGTTTTATTTTTTAGTGTTACATTTGACAACCCACACACCTCACTAACAAATATCTCTGATCATCAGAGAAATGCAAATGAAAACCACAATAAGATGTCATCTCATACCAGTCAGAATGGCTATTATTAAAAAGTCAAAAAATAACAGATGCTGGCAAGCTTGAGGAGAAAAAGGAATGCTTTTACACTGTTGGTGGGAGTGTAAATTAGTTCAACCATTGTGGAAGACAGTGTGGCAGTTTCTCAAAGATCTAGAAGCAGAAATACTATTTGACCCAGCAATCTCATTACTGGGCATATACCCAAAGAAATATAAATCATTCTATTATAAAGATACATGCATGCATATGTTCGTTGCAGCACTATTCACAATAGCTATCAACCTAAATGTGCATCAGTGATAGACTGAATAAAGAAAATGTGGTACATATACGACATGGAATACTAGGCAGCCGTAAAACAGAACAAGATAATGTCCTTTGCAGGGACATGGATGGAGTTAGAAGCCATTATCCTCAGCAAACTATTACCTGAACAGAAAACCAAACACCATGTGTTCTCACTTATAAGTGGGAGCCGAATGATGAGAACACATGGACACATAGTGGGGAAAAACACACACTGGGACCTTTTGGTGGGGGTTGGGAGAGAGAGAGCATCAGAAAGAATAGCTAATGGATGCTAGGCTTAATACCTAGGTGATGGGATGATCTATGCAGCAAAACACCATGGCACACATTTACCTATGTAACAAACCTGCACATCCTGCACATATACCCCTGAACTTAAAATAAAATTTGAAGAAGAAAAAAGAAAACAAAATCTAATCAGTAGCTCAATTCTAGTCACAATCACTGCAAGAAACTTTTAACTTTGATTATCTGTCTCTGATCTTATATATTATTACTGCCAGCAATTTACCTCTGTCTTTTCCCCATAATCTGGATCTGTTATTCTTATTTTTGTTGTTCTGTATATTTATTATTTGGTTAGATTTCCCATACACTTGTCTTTTCCCCGCACCTCACTATTGGTTTTTGCAGCTCACTTAACTTCCTTCTTCCTGAAATATATTCTTCAGAAGATTTTTTTAAGTCTGCCTGAAAATATCTTTATTTTTCCTTTGTTCTTGAATGATAGGTTAGCTATGCAGCATGACAGTTATTTTCTCTCAATACTTTGGCAGTTCTAGTGCTTTTGGTTTTTATTTTTGCTATTGAGAAGTGAACCATCAATCTAGTTGACAATTAGATGAATCTGATTTTTTTTTTTTTTTTTTTTTTTCCTGAGACAAGGTCTCTCTCTATCGCCCAGGTTTTGAGTGCAGTTGTATGATCTCGGCTCACTGCAGCCTCCACCTCCTGGGTTCCAGTGATACTCTCGCCTCAGCCTCTCAGGTAGCTGGGATTACAGACACATGCCACCATGCCTGGCTAATTTTTGTATTTTTAGTAGAGACCGGGTTTCACCATTTTGGCCAGGCTGGTCTCGAACTCCTGACCTCAGGTGATCTACTCACCTCAGCCTCACAAAGTGTTAGGATTACAGTCATGAGCCACTGTGCCCAGCCTCATCTGTTCTTTTCTATGCTTTTTAAGATTTGGGGGGTTTATTTGTTCTAATCTTCAATTTCACTCTGGTATATCAAAGTTTACTTTCACTTTTATTCACTCTGCTTGATATTCTCCGGATTTTCTAATGTACACATTCATATCTCTCATCAATTCTGGAAAACTATTAGCCATATTTTTTCCAAGTATCATTTCTTCTCCCACTGTTACTATCTTCTCTTTCTGCTCTCTCCTCTTGACATATGTTGGAGCATCCTGTTCCTTTCCTCCAGGCCTATTCGTCTGTTTCTTATTTCCTATCGTTTTATCACTCTTTGCCACATTTTTCATTCCTTCAAACCAATCTTCCAGTTCACGAATTGTCTCCCTAATTGGCCTTAAATACTAATGAGTCCTAAAATTATGTATCAGACAATTGCCACTGAAGTCAGACATTGCCTCTGAACTTGAATCTCCCATAACCAGCAGTTAACCCGACATCTCTACTTGGACATGTAATTAGCATATCAAACTTTTATGTCCAGAAATAAACTCTTGAACTTCCCTATACACCCTGGCTCCTCCCACAGTCTTTCTTCTCTCATTAAATGGCAACTCCAACTTTCTAATTGCTCAGGCCAAAAACACGGAGTAGTTGTACATTTAAGTCTTAATTCATCTTGAGTTAATTTTTGTATATAGTGAGAAATAGGAGTCCAGTTTCATTCTTCTGCATATGGCCAGCCAGTTATCCCAGCACCTAGAAAACCCCATAGGCAACTTTGTCAAAGATCAGATGGCTGTAGATGTGCAGCTTTATTTCTGGGTTCTCCATCCTGTTCCATTGGTCTATGTGCCTGTTTTGTACTAGTGCAGTGCTGTTTTGATTACAGTAGCCTTGTAGCATAGTTTAAACTTGGGTAGTGTGATACCTCCAGCTTTGTTCTTTTCACTTGGAATTGCTTTGTCTATTTGGGCTCTTTCTTGGTGACATATGAATTATAGAATAGTTTTTTTCTAATTCTGTGAAAAATGACACTACTAGTTCGATAGGAATAGTGTTGAATCTTTAGATTGCTTTGGGCAGTATGGCCATTTAATGATGATTCTTCCAATCCATGAGCATGGGACATTTTCTATTTGTTTGTATCATCTATGATTTCTTTCAGTAGCATTTTGTAGTTCTCCTTGTGGAGATCTCTTATATCTTTGGTTAGATATATTTCCAGGTTTGTGTGTGTGTGTCTGTGGCTATTATAAATGGGATTGCATTCTTAATTTGGGTCTCAGGTTGAACGTTATTGGGGTGTAGAAATGCTACTGATTTTTGTACATTTATTTTTATATCCTGGATCTTTACTGAAGTTGGGTCTGTTCCGGGTTTTATCTTCTGACTCAGACTAGGGAGGTTGTATGTTTTCAGGAATTTGCCCATTTCCTCTAGATTTTCTAGTTTGTTAGAGGTGTTCATAATAATCTGAGAATCTTTTATGTTTCTGTAGGATCAGTTCTAATTTAACCTTTGTTGCTTCTGATTGTGCTTATTTGGATCTCCTCCCATTTTTTCTTTGTAAATCTAGATAGCAATCTATCAATCTTATTTATCCTTTCAAAAAAGCCAGCTTTTGTTTTTGTTGATTCTTTGTATTACTTTTTGTGTCTCAATTTTGGTCAGTTCTACCCTGATTTTAGTTTTTCTTTTCTTCTGCTAGCTTTGCAGTTAGTTTGTTCTTGTTTTTCTAGTTCCTTCAGGTGCAACGTTACATTGTTAATTTGAGATCTTTCTAACTTCTTCATGTAGGTGTTTATCGCTATAAACTTTCCCCTTAACACTGCTTTAGCTGCATCCCAGAGATTTTGATATGTTGTGTCTCTGTTTTCATTTATTTCAGAGTTCTTAAATTTCTGTCTTAATTTTACTGTTTACCCAAAAGTCATTCAAGAGCAGGTTGTTTAATTTCTATGTAATTGTGTGGTTTTGAGAGATCTTCTTGTTATTCATTTACTTATTTATTTGAGATGGAGTCTCGCTCTGTTGCCCAGGCTGGAGTGCAGTGGTGCGATCTCGGCTCACTGCAAGCTCTGCCTCCCAGGTTCACGCCATTCTCCTGCCTCAGCCTCCCGAGTAGCTGGGACTACAGGTGTCCGCCATCACACCTGGCTAATTTTTTTGTATTTTTAGTAGAGACGTGGTTTCACCATGTTAGCCAGGATGGTCTCAATCTCCTGACCTCGTGATCCACCTGCCTTGGCCTCCCAAAGTGCTGGGATTACAGGCGTGAGCCACCGTGCCCGATCTTATTTGTATTTTTATTCCACCATGGTCTGAATGTATGGTTGATATGATTTCAATTTTTTGAATTTACTGAGACTTGTTTTACGACTGAGCATGTGGTCAATCAGAGTATGTTCCCTGTGCAGATAAGGATAATATGTATTCTGTGGTTGATGGATAGAGTGTTCTGTAGATGTCTATCAGGTTCAATTGGTCAAGTGTCAAATTTAAGTCCAGAATTTCTTTGTTAGTTGTTTGCCTCAATGATCTAACACTGTCAGAGGGTGTTCAAGTCCCTCACTATTATTGTGTGGCTAAGTCTTCTTATAGATCTAGAAGTACTTGTTTTATGAACTTGGGTGCTCCAATGTTGGATGTGTATATATTTACAATACTTATGTCATCTTGTTGGATTGAACCCTTTATCATGCTGTAGTGCCATTATTTGTCCTCCTTCTAACTGTTGTTAAAGTCTATTTTACCTGATATAAGAATAACAACCCCTGCTCTTTTGTGTTTTCTGTTTGCATGATCTTTCTCCAGCCTTGAGTCTATGAGTGTTGTTATGTGTGAGATGGGTTTCTTAAATACAGCAGATGAATGGGTGGTGGTGGTGGTGTTTTTTTAACACAACTTGCCACTCTGTACATTTTAAATGGGCATTAAGACCATTTACATTCAAGGTTAATATTGATATGTGAGGCTTTGATCTTATCATGAAGTTGCTAGTTAGCTGTTTTATAGTTTCTTTTGTGTGTTGCTTCAAAGGGTCTGTGGATTATGTTGTTCCTTCATCTCCATGTTTAGAATTGCCTTAAGGATCTCTTGCAAGGCTGGTCTAATGGTAGTAAATTCCCTTAGTGATTGTTTTTCTGAGAAAGATTTTATTTCTCTTTTGCTTATGAAACTTAGTTTGGTTGGGTATGAAATTCTTGTTTGGAGTTTCTTTTTTTTTTTTTTCCTTAAAGATGCTGAAAATAGGTCCTCAATCTCTTCTGGCTTATAGGGTTTCTGCTGAGAAGTCTGCTGTTAGCCCGATGGGGTTCCCTTTGTACATAATCTGACCTTTTTCTCTAGCTGCCTTTAAGACTTTTTCTTTAGCATTGACTTTAGACAATCTGGTGACTACATTCCTTGGTGATGTTCAGATTTTTATAGTATCCGGCAGGTGTATTTGGAGGTATATTTCTAGCCAAAAAAATTCAAGAATACTCTTCTGGGCTTATACCTCCACCTCCACCCTGTCTTTTCCATTTGTTGCTAATTCTTTCACATAATGCCAGTTCTTTAGGCTTTAAGAAAAGCCAGTCAGCATCTGCACTGTCTTCTCTCTTCCTTAGTACTGTCACAACCCACAGAGGCCACCTCCCAGAGATGTTGGTATTTCACTGAATTGGCACATTAACATTCCTTTTCAACTTCACCATGCATTCACAGAAATTTGCTTTCTCTGGATCAAAGTGGGGAGAGATTCTGGGTTTTTTTATTATTATATTACATTTATGTTTTAAACAGTATTCATTCCACAACTAACTTCTTTAAAAAACCAAGTAATTAATTCTTAGCCAAGAATAACCAAGTAGTTAATTCTTAGATTCTTTCCTTACTCCTAAAGTTATTACAGAATGGCATACAAGACCTGAGGAAACCTGGAAAAGTATCAGTTTGTCTTTAAATTATCTTTGTCGGATGTGTAGAAAATATATGGGAACTGAATAAAGAAAGAGCTGAGAGCTGGATAAAGAAATAGTTGAGAATAGCAGAGTGACTAAGAAACGTTCTTCAAGCTTGGCTCTTATTTTTTTTTTTTTTTTAGACAGAGTCTCCTGTGTTGTCCAAAGCTCAGCACTATTGACTTTTGTGCTGGTTAATTCTGTATTGCAGATGTTTAGCAGTATCCCTGGCATCTACCCATGAGATGCCAGTAGCACCCACACACACCAGTTGTGATGACCAAACATATCTCCAGATGTGGCCAAATGCCCCCTGGGAAGGGTAAGGGTTGATCATCCCATTGAGAATCACTGGTCTAGAGGTTCAAATTCCATTTTCACCACTTACAATCTGAATGATGTTATCCAATATCCATTCTTTCTATTCTTACTAATAGAACCCCAAATTTGATCAGGTTTGCTATAAGCCCAGCTAAAAACGTTAACATAGTTCTGCCTATTGAGACATAAGCTGAAGTTTTCTGGAAGGCTTTTGTTGATCTGATCTAGGCGACACTCCTTTTTCTTTCACCCTCCCCTTTCTCTTTGCCTGAAATGCCAACACAGTGAATGGAGCAGCAGCAGTCACAATGTGCCCATGAAGACCAAGCCATGCACTGAAAATGAGAATGTAGGAAGGTGGAAGGAAGCTAATACAAAGGCCAGCAAATCCAGCTTGCCTGTTTTTATACAGCCTACAAAAGGAATAGCTTTTACATGTTTTAATGGTTACAGGAAATTTTTAAAATGTATAATATTTTATGACATAAAAATAACATGAAATTTGTATTTCATTGTCCATAAATAAAGTTTTATTGGTACGCAGTCATTTGTTTACATATGATCTGTGCTGCTTTTGTGCCCTAAAGGCAGAATTTAGTAATTGCAGCAGAGATGGTACAGCCCACAAAGCCTAAAATACTCTCTGACCTTTAACAAAGTTTATCAACTCAGACAGAATAACATCCTTGACAACTCAACTCCAGACTTTTTGTTGTGTGAGAAAAATAAGCTATTGGCTTATATAATCCACTATTTTTCAGCTTTATGTCACTTCCAGCCAAAGGCAGTCTAATTGGTGCACAGCTAAATGAGATTTGATGAACTGGAAGAACCAGGGGCAGCATAATGAGGACACTGTCTAGAGGACATTCTGCAGACGTCAGGACATCTAATTTATTTCCCTATAATTTCCCAGGAAGTTTAAAGCTTTTCTTGGAATAGACTGTGTCTATAAAACCGGAAAGGAGGGAAGAAATGAAAACTTTGAAGAATAAATCTTTATAGGACTCAGCAGACAAATAGGTGCACAAAGCAGAGAAGGTACAGTAAAATAATAATACCTTAGTGTATTAGTTATTTATTGCTGTGGAACAAATACTCCTAAGCAACAACACTTTCATCTCACATATCCTGAAATTCAGGAAGCTGGGCATGGTTTAGGACTTGCATTTACTGAATCACAGTGACAGTAGATTGTAGCCATCTCAAGGCTCAATAGGAGCCACTTCCACACTCACTCACAAGGTTGTTGCCAGAATTCAGTTCTTTGCAAGCTGTTGGGCTGAGACCCTCTGTTCCTTACAGCTATCAGCCAGAAGCTGCCCTCAGCATCTTGCCACGTGGCCTCTCTGTAGGGCAGCTGGCGATGTGGCAGTGGCTTCACCAGAGTGGGCAAGTGAGGATTTGAAAAGGAGTGTGTCCCAGATAGAAGTCACAGTCTTGCACAACATCATCCAGAAATGACATCCCAGCACTTCTGCTGTATTCTGTTCATTAAAAGTGAGTCACATTAAAAGTGAATCCCCACTTGAAGGGAGGAGATTAAGCAAAGGTGTGGGTACCAGGACATAGGGTCATCAGGCACCTGTCAGAATCTCCCTACTACACCCAACAAAGTGTTCAAATTCATGGATTATTTTCACCTGGATTACTTTTGCTGCTAATCTTGGGACCTTTTCTGAAAAGCAAAGGAAGTGGACCCAGGTCCATGACCAAATCTTTCAAATGTCATCCCTGTGTAAAGATTTGTGCCCTAAATAGGAGGTTCCTGCTCCCACCTCGCTCCAACTGACACATAACCATCTCCACCCTCTCTGCTCTTGTCTTGGGAGTCCCTTATGTTAGCCAAATGACAAGAGAACAATTCTAACCCTGTCACCTAGAATCTAGGTATTTTTGGAAAAGTGTTTCCCATAAGTAGTTTACCCTTTATCTTTTGTCTTAAAAGTGTTTGTTGCTTTTGCCACGATGTGAGTTCAGAAATGCAGGCTGGCTTCTTCGTGAGTACCTACCTGCCAGTAAAGGCAAACAAGGCTCCCTTGGCTTAGATCTTCTTGTCCTGTGGTCTTTCCCACTCTCCCTCACTTTCCTCCTTAGCCTTCCTCCTCCAAAAGAGGGCTCCCTCACTTCACATTCTCTTCTCCCAGTGGCAAGTGCTTTCTGAAACAAAGAAGCCCTTGCCTAGCCCTAAGACAGCTCGAGTGGCCACTTCTGACCAAATAGGCTTCAAGTTGGTGCTACAACTAAGCACCGAGGGTCTGTGAATTAGACTCTTTAGCATGTGCAGCGCTGCTTTGATCTTGGCAGACAACAGCCCTCATCTGAATGCCCCCTACCTCTTCTTCTAAGCGGACACTTCAGCCTCCCTTTGCTGAGACAAACCAAAGAGTTAATCAAACTCCTGAAATGAGTCCCAGGGAGTTAGAAACATGGAATCTTGCCCTGTCTATTTTGCAAATTTAAAGACACTGGGCTTCCAAAGAGCTGATACTTGAGGGTCTTTTAAATGCCTAGAATACTAAACGGGCTGGGGGTTTTCTGTCCTTAGGCTAAACCAGCTGAAATAAGAAAGAAATATAAAATACTTTATTTTCACCTTTTGGACAGATCCATTTTTTATTTAAAAAGCAATAAATCAACAGATTCAAATAAAAAATGGTGAGTTCATGTCCTTTGTAGGGACATGGATGAAGCTGGAAACCATCATTCTCAGCAAACTATCGCAAGGACAAAAAACCAAACACCGCATGTTCTCACTCATAGGTGGGAATTGAACAATGAGAACACATGGACACAGGAAGGGGAACATCACATACCAGGGCCTGTTGTGGGGTGGGGGGAGGGGGGAGGGATAGCATTAGGAGATATACCTAATGTTAAATGACGAGTTAATGGGTGCAGCACACCAACATGGCACATGTATACATATGTAACTAACCTGCACGTTGTGCACATGTGCCCTAGAACTTAAAGTATAATTAAAAAAAGGAAAATATGCATAAGTTTATACATATCCAATAATTACACTCAGTTGTTTGCAGAGCTTTTTACTTAATTCATCTTTTTCTTTTCTTTAAATGCAACACAGTGGGAGACTTTTCCTGCCTGGCCATTCAGAAGCAGGTCACAGGGGCAGCCACCAGTAGACCAGCTTGCATGAGGATGCCACTGCCCCTGGGAAAAACAGAAACAGTGAAAAAGATTTTGAGGACTGATGGGATTAAGACTTTCCGCAGGGCAATAATGCAGACACAAGTTTTACCCCCAAATCTCTGAAAGAGGCAACCCAGGAGGGAAGAAGGCATTGCATTTCCTGGCACTCATCCTCAGGTGCGGGTTTATGATCAGCAAGGATTGAGGCTTATTAATATGAAAGTGAAGGAAGCCAGCCAGCTGTCCTCTGTAAGGAAGGAAGGAAAGGGTCTATTTAAAATAAAATCATCATAAAAATGAAGAAACAAATGAAAGACTGAATGTACAAATGCACAGTGCCTGGACCATATAATAAGAATAGAACTATCACCCTAAATCTGTAGCAGCCTGCTTAGGAAACCAAGCCCATTATGTATGACAAACAGCCCAGGAAGACAGCCTGCTAAAGCCAGACTCGCAGGAAGCCAGTCTGCTATCTCTAGTGATAACCCAGGAAGCTAAACAATAACTTCTGTAACAAAAGACCCAAAATGTTCAGGACTTAATTAATAATTGTATTAGTCAGGATTCTCCAAAGAAACAAGACCAATAAGATGTGTGTTTATACATATATATATACACATATATATTACATATATGTATACACATATATAACATATATGTATACACATATATTACATATATTACCTATATATTACACATATATTACCTATATATTACACATATATTACCTATATATTACACATATATTACCTATATATCACATATATATGTATACATATATATCACATATATATGTATACATATATATCACATATATATGTATACATATATATCACATATATATGTATACATATATATCACATATACATGTATACATATATATTACATATATATTACATATACATGTATGCCTGTACATACATACATATATATGTGGAAATTTATTATGGAAATTGACTCATGCCATTATGCAGATTATGCAGGCTGAGTAGTCCCAAGATATGCCATCTGCAACCTGGGGAACCAGGAAAGCTGGTTGTAGTGGTTGTATAATTCAGTCCAAAGCTGAAGGCCTAAGAACCACGGGAGCCTGCCCCACCTGCCAACTGCTGGAGTAAGTCCTGGAGTCCAAAGGCCTGAGAACCAGAAGCTCTGATGTTTAAGGGCAGGAAAAGATGGATGTCCCAGAAGAGAGAACTTCCTGTGCCCTTTTGTTCTATTTGGGCTGTCAAGGAATCAGATGATGCCCACGTGGGTGAGGGTAATCTTCTTTACTCAGTCATCTCATTCAAATGCTAATCTCTTCCAGAAAAACCCTCACAGACACACCCAGAAATAATTGATTACAAGCTATCTGGGCACCTCTTAGCCCAGTCAAGTTGACATATAAAATTAACCATCACAGTAACTGACAGCCTCCCTAATTTTTGTGACTGCTTCTAATTTAGGACTAACCAGAGAAAGCCAACTATGGCCCCAACCAATCAGACAGGCTTCCGTGCTCCAAATTGGCCACCCTGGGCTTCCCCTGGCCAACAGCTTCCAATAAGGGGCACACGTGAAGCCATCCCTTTTGCCCACTGTAAAGCTCTCTCGCTCCTCTGCCTACCTTTGAGTCTCTGCCAAATGAAAGTGATGGTGGCCAACTCCTTTGCTATGGCAAGCGCTGAATAAATCACCTTTGCTTTTCTCATATGAGTGGCATTCAATTTTTTCTACATGGGCAACCTAAAAGGACTAAAGTATATTTCAGGAGTCTAGTTTTTAAAATCTCCAGGAAGACAACCTCCAGGGTGAGACCTTAGGTAGAAAACAATATCACTCTCACTGTCACTGTAATCCATCCTTTTCTGTGTCCCCCAATCCTGAGTCAGCCTCAGAAGGAAACCGAAATCAATTTAGCTCCATGAGTTCAAGTGCTGATTCCTCAGCTCAAGTTAGCTTCAAGCTTTTCAGGCATCTTTGGCAAGTCTCAAAACTCCTTAGCCCCTCTTGTAACAATTCTTTTTGAGCTCTGAACATTAATTTACATGGTGTATGTACTTTATTCATTTATCCTTGTTTTCATGTGTTTCTTTAGTATATTCTTGTAGGTTTATTTTTCCTCTCCAGTTAGAGACCTCATCAACCTTTATCTATGCCTATTATCTGCACCCAATACCCTTAAAAGTGCTTCACACATGGAAGCCTTCTGGTCACTAAAGTTAACTGACTTTTAGAAATCACATGTCTTAAAAAGATTTGAAATAAATGACTCTTGCAAATATTAATACATAGACCTTTGTTTGTTTTAACAAAGGTGAATCTAAAATTGCTTGCCACTATGAATCAAATATAATTTCAGTACACATTAAATATAGGCATATACTTGTTCTATGTTTTAGGTAAGGAAGAACTAGCTAAAGATATAACAGATAAAATGCTAAATCTTAGTGGCTTCAGAGACTAGATGTGTATTGTGTTCACAAACAGGTTATTCCCTAACAGAGGGCAGATCTCCAGTGACTCAGGGACCCAGGCTTCTTCTGGCTCACAGCTTCATCATCTCCAATGCCAGGTTCCTCAGGTTACTACGCTTGTCTGCATCAAGTCAGAGGGGAAAAACCATGGGGGGCCATATTGTGCAGTTTTTATGAGCCAAGCCAAGAGGTGTGAACACGACTCTTAGCACATTCCATCAGTCAGATCTCAGTCACATGGCCACACCTCACCACAATAGGGCTGGAAAATGATCTAACTCTGGGCTCAGAGGGAAGAGAAAATGGCTTTGGTTAAGAGCTAACCAGTTTCTTTCATACCTATCAAGGAAAAAAAAAAAATCTCTGCTGTAAAGACCTCCTTACAAATACCACTCCCCTAACCCAAATGACTGGCTTAGTCACTGGAAAATGTGCACAGACTAAGCTCTAAATTGGATTCTTCATACATCAAAGGGTACAGTAAAGCTCTTGACAGCCCCTGCTTCTCAAACATGAAGGACAGCTCACAAGGACAACAGCAACAACAGAATGCCCTGCCACTTCTCCCTGCCTTTTTAAGAGAGCACTGTTCTTTAATTTTATTGCTTCTAGAAGCATTGCAGCTTCTCATGAGCCAGTGAACTAGCTAATTGGCTACAGCAAGGACTGTATCTTGGAAGGTGGCACTTAATAAAACAAATATTAAGAAACTATGATTCTCTGGAGTATGAGCTTTCAAGGGTGAAGGGTATATCATGGGTCAACATGATACAACACCTGACAGTTAAGGATGGGGAGGAAATGACATCTTAGAAAGGGAGAAACTCAGTGGGAATGCTTAGGTTTGTCTCATATTGAGAGTATTAAAACCATAAGCTCCTATATAGCTGGTTTTTTTTTTGGCTGCAATTAAAACATAAAGAGCTGGTTTCTTTGACGTTCTGTGTCTGCCCTTTTTTCCCATTTTTATATATACAGCCTAAGCAAAACTGACAAAAAAAGTAATCGAGATTTCGGTTCTAATGCAGATCTTGATTTATTTTGACTTATTCACAGGGTCTAGTAAAATGATCCATGCCTTCCTACAGAAATGAGATGTCAAGATGCAAACAATGCTGCCTCCCTCCAACAAGCAGCCACAGCCTGCCCCACAGCCATCTCATACTGGCATCCCTCAAGGGCAGTCAAGATCTCAGCCCCTTCATCAGACTGACACCTGCCAACCTTTTTGTCCATTTCTGTAGGAGTCAAAGTTCTTGAAGGCCATGCTGAACTTGAATTTTCCCTGAAGTTCAGCAGAAAATTAAGATCTACTTGCAGGTGATTCTTGCCGAAAAATGAGTCATAGACTAAAAATAGTGCAGCAATTTTTTTAATGAGAAAATGAACAAGATACGTGAACATGGCTCAGATATACCCATCTGTTTTCAATTGTAGTTGGCGGCAAGTCAGCTCTCAATTTTCCGCTTGCTGGGCTTTCTAACACAGCTCCCCGTGCGTCTGCCAATGACCAAAATGCACAGCAACCCTAGGTAATCTTGCTCTACCTCTTTCCCCTTCCCAGACCACAGAATATCCAGTTGAATTGCAACATTATTAGGGCAGATATTTACATATTTATAATCTTTTTTAAAGTATGCATATGTTATCTTTTTCTTGCATTCATCTCTTATTATTTGCTATCTTGTATTGCCAATGCCTCGTCTCTCCCCCATTAACACTGATAAATTGCAGTTGATTATAGTTTAGTTCCTTTTCTCGTGAGTTAAATGCAGTAAAATGAGCAGAAAAGTAGCAAACAAGGCCTCAGGGTGACATCAACACCCTATAATAGCTTATTTTTACCTCTAATATTTTCACAGATGATTCTGCCTGAAATTCTCCAATTTGGGGTAATGATGCTGAAAGTGTGTAATATAAGAATTTGGAGTATAAGCAAACAGCTGATGATGATGATGATGTTGACAGAAGGGTTATGTTTGGATAAAAAACCAGCTCTGCATGAAAGGATGGTCAGGGCAAATAACCCAAGAGCTAAGCTGAATCTTGATTCAGTGCTTCCATTAGTAAAAAGAATATGTTTGAAGCTTACCTTTTACAAAATAAAAAGAGCATATCTGACAGTGTATTTAGAAATGAGGGACCTGGCATCTAGTTTAAGAAAACCATTCTATTCACAGGTCTCTGGTGGCACAGGGATCTTGTACTTGGAGTAATCAACCTTTGTAGAACCTCTTTTTTGATGCTGGAATATTAGGCCTGCTGTCTTGAACCTCTTGGAGCTAATGGGATGTCCAGATGTAACTCCATATCTATATAACCCTGAGGACTGCTATGCAGCTGCTATGGAACATGAGGGGCTCATCTCTGTACTGAAAAAAAATTGCCCCAAGCTTTTGTTTCCTAAGGCACTTTTTGTAGAGAAATTATGGCCACGATGACATGCTTACTCTAGGATAGAGGGAGTGAGACAATTAAAATTTAGAAAAGACCTGAAGTCTACACCAAGTGGCATCTCTCCCCTCCCCTGCAGAGACAGAACATGGTACCCACTGACCTCAACCCTTAATCCCTTGGGCCCTCTCTAAGTCTCCAATTTTACACGTCCCACTGTACTTCAGTGAATTCCTGCCAAACAGTTTTGGAGACTGTGCGGGGTTATCATGTACAGGTCCTTCACAACACCCTGATGCCTCACCCCTTAGAGCTTTACTTATGCCCAGCATTGTCTGGGCACCCCTCCTGATTACTTTCCTTCAGTTTCACCCTGAACTCCAAAGGACTGCACCATAAAACCACAATGGCATTCATAATGGAGCCCCCTAGCCATTCAGGCAAAACTTTCATTCCTATCTTATCACACAGATAAGTCCTCTGAGAACATTTCTGTTAATCCCTCTTGCTTCTCAACTCCCACTTCCACACTCACCTCCTACACTTTAATATCCCAAATGGACTTAGACACATATGAGAGCCTCAGTATCTTTCTTCCCATCCCTGCCATTTCTAAGGAGAGAATTTGATCCTCTTCTAATGCCCCACACTTTCTACCTTTGCGCTGATCCCATCCTCACACCTTCTCTGGGACTTGGCTACACCATTCCTCCTCACCCATACTTTGAACTTCTCCCGCCGTGATCCCTTTCTGCTCTTGAGTAATTCCTTGCATTAAATCAAAAGGAACAAAGTGAAATGAGCTAAAACCTCTTTCCCTGGCCCACCTATGCTTAAGTTCCTTTTTAAAAAATTCCTCCTACTGAGCTAGACACAAACTCTCATATGTCCTCCCCCATCCCACCAAAAAAATTTATAGTTTTCTTCTCTGCAGAAATTATCTGTCAAACACCAACAATTTTTAAAACTTTTCCAAGGTCAGATTATCAGAATATTATATCTTACTGAATATCATGACTTACTGAATTTTGATTGCTTTTTAAAATTTGTACTGAAAAGCAATATGCATAAGTAAAACCTGCAATGAATGTGCACAAACTGAACACGTCTTTGAACCAGCACCCAGACCCAGAAACAGAAAATTACCAGAATTCTGGGCTTCCTGCTCATCATATACGGTGAAACTAAGTAGTTTAGAATGGATGAGGCTAGGCTGTGAGAGAGAATAGAATCATGAGGCTAGAAACATGTATTGAAGGGCTTCTATATCTTGCTAAGAAGCAACTGAAACAATAAATCAAGAAATCCATGAACGTATTGGGGTAGTGCTGTCTAATTTACTAAAGAGATGGTGTCTGAATATAGGATTTTATTTTAGTACCCAAACTAAGACAGCCATATGTCCTGGCTTTTCCTTGAGTCCACTGATTTAAAATATTTTGCCTTATCAAACCATGTGTCAGAACACAGCCCAACTTAGGGTCAGGAAAATTTTGTTACCATAACCTCATTCCATCCCACACACCATATTGTTTTTCCAAAAAACAGTGCCATTTTTTCTGGTTGGTATCCTATACAGAAAATAATTTGATTTGTAGGCTTGCAAATCACACTTATAAATATTCAAATGCACAGCTCCAATTAAAACAAGAGCCAAAAGCCTGTGCTACAGGCAATGAAAATATTCTTCCCATAGCTACATTTACTTTATTAACAGGCTGTAGCCTAAATGCCTAAGGAAAAAATTGTTATAGGCTTGTTATCTTGCTTCTAATTGAGTGATTTTCTTTCTTCTTTTCATTTACTGAAGTATTATGGACTTGGCTACTATAATGTATGAAACTGTAGTTACTTTGACCAATTCAGACCTAGCTCTCATACATTTAAGGGCTTCACATGACTCAGTCCCTGCTGGGAGTCAAATGCCAGGAAACCCAATTCAATCAAAAGGAATTTAAGAGGAATTCCAAATTTTAGGTTTACCTATGAAGAATTAGCAGTTCCAATTCACAACCCCCAACAGCAACACTTCTTAAAGTTCCTGCCCCCATTTGCAGCTCCCTCTCCTGCAGTGGCCCCAGCACCTCTCTCTTGCCAATCCCTTGACATTCTTCTTCTCTCCCCAGCCCTACATCTTTATCAAGATAGTTGCTGTTCTTGGCTTTATTTATTCTTGTCTAGAAGCATTTGGCAAGGAGCCATTCTAAATAAGTTTAGCCTAATAAGGTTTTCTTTTTAAAAACAATTTTTAAATAATTCTTTATAAAATACATTACATACTTATATATTAAATCTTGTACACAAGTACAGGAGAAAGAGACCTGGGGAAAGGCAAACAGGTTTAGGGAATATATGATAATACCTATGAGAGCAGATTTTCAGAATGAGAAGAGAGATTTTTAAAGATTCTGAAACAAATGGGAAATAGGAAATAAAGGAAAGTTAGTCATGCCTAAACTTAAGATTAAGTAAGCTTCAAGTGGTTCCAGGTTTAAACATTAGCAGGAAGATAAAAAGAAGTCACTCACTGAGACATAAGACAGAGAAAATTCCTTTTTCATGGAATGAAAATTCATAGGATAATTGTAGAACAAGAGGAAGCAGCAAGATAGGAGAAAGGCATAAACGATATTCAAAGCAGCTATGAGTAGGTTAGACTTTTACATTCTCATAGCAGCATGTCTCATAGCAACAGACATACAACCTGTATGTCCATTCCGTGAAGTTCCCCTTCAACCCTCTGCCATTTCTATTAGCAAATTCTATCAATTCTACTGACTTTCCCATTTTTGTCAATGTTTCTACCACTTCCTCAATCACGGTTGTTAAAAACTTTATGGTTTACTTTTTCAACAAGTCCTGCCAACACGTCTTTCAAAGTGGTTCTCAAATGTAGCTCTTTTCTTATTCCCAAGTATCACTCCCAATTTTGATCTCTTCATACATTACTTCTGGTTACTCCAATAGCTACTTTTTTTTCTTTACTACTTTGTTGCAAATTTTTTACTAAGTTTTTACTTTCTTTTACTAATTTATGAAGACATACGTTACATAACAAGAACTGAACATATTTTAAATGTATCATTTGATAAATTTTGACATATCCACCCAAGAGATAAATCAATCAAGACATTGAACAGTTCCATCACCCTGCCCTGGAAATTTTCATAATGTGTCCTTTGCAATCAGTTCTTCCCTTTCTGACCCCATGATCTCCAGGCAACCAATGACCTGCTTTCTGCCACTATACATAAGTTTTCACCTTCTGCAATTTTATCTAAATGGGACCCCATACTATGTACTCAGCATAATGATTTTAAGATGTATCCATGTTGCTGCATGTACTGATTTTTACATCATTTTGTTGCTCGGTGATATCCCCTTATATGGATAGACGTATTTTGTTTTCCAATTTACTGTCCATGAACACACAGATTGCATGTCCATTGCAATGAGCCATGCTGCTATGAGAATGTAAGAGTCTTTGTATGAACATGGCTTTCATTTCTCCTGGGTAAATACCAAGGAGTGGAAGAGGCTTGAATTATGTATTGGTGTAGGTTTAACTTTTTAAGAAACCGCTAACATCTTTTCAGCTTGGCTGTTCCCTTGTACATTCCCACAACACTGTAGGAACATTCCAGTTTCTACATCCTCACCAACACTGGGTCTTTTTCCTAACAGCCATCTTATTGAGTATACAGGGGTACTTCATCACGGTTTCCACTGAGATGTCCCTGATGGTTAACAATGTTGAGCATCGTCTTTCCTGCTTACCAGTCATTCCTACATCTTCTCCTGTGAAGTGTCTCTTCAAATCTTTTTCCCATTTTGCTTGTTGTTGTTTTATTTTCCAGTTTAAGGGGTTTTTGTTTTGTTTTTTGTATTCTACATGCAAGTCTTTTGTTTGATGTATGTGTTGCAAATATTTTATCCCAGGCCATAGCTTCATCATTGCCACTGGGCTCAGTAAATCTTTGCCCTTCTATCTTGAGTTATTCAAGTAGGTGAATATTTAGTCACAATAATTACTGGAATAATGCAAAGAAAGCATAGAGCCTTTTACCAAACTTGCAGGGAGCCCTGAATGGTTTTAAATCTAAACAGCATTTCCAGTACTTTTACGGATCAACATACACTTTCTGGAGCTTTGGTAGAAGCGCTGTTGGAAAGAACATCGTTTTCCATTAGGCTATGATAATACCACTTTTTATCAGATAGCAGAGGTAATACTATGCTATTGAACGTGTGGGTAGACATGAAAGATCTAGCAGATGGTTTTGACTCAGCTGTTGTCACTGTGTGGGTTCCCCTGTGAGGAGGTAACTGTGATGGGTGGAAGGTGAAGGTGTGTTGATGGCTTATGCGAGACTCTTCAAAAGGCAAATAGGCTAGAAATTCACCTGCACCCAGAAAGAAAGGAAACAAAATAACAACCACCAAAAAAGCCACAACTGGGTAAGGCAGTCTAGCCTCCGAACACACACACACACACACACACACACACACGAAGATGGGGAGTAAAGATACAAAGAGAAATAAACTGCAATCTGCTGCTTTCTTTTTTTCTACTGAAATAATGCATGTCCTACTGAGAATTTCTGTATTCTGCATATTAAGATACATATGCTTCCTTTGAATTCTCAAAAAGCTAGGGAAAAAATATCCAAGATGAAAATCTCAGGGAGATGAGAGACAAAACCAGTAGTCAATGAGAAAACAGCCCAGAAGAGCTCCCCACGAAGGCAAAGTGAATGAAGTCAAACACACTTTTTTAAATAGTGACTTAGACTTGCTTAGACATTTTTTGGTCTATCTGATCACTTGTTTACTTGGTGCGCTGGGGTAGGCAAGGTAGGTGGATGTTGGAATGGAAAAACCATGGGCTTTGGCATCAGACGGACCTGGATTCCAATCCTGGACATAAATATTTGAATGACTGTGAATTTGGTTACGTTTCTTATTTTAGTCATTCAGAAATGGAAGATAAATAATATCTATTTTATAGAATTATTAAGAATATTAAATGAAATCACATGTGCTCATTTTTAAAAACAGGTATCAGAACAAAGTACACACTCATTAAATTCCAGACATTCTTTCTACTCCGACTTCTACTTACCCTTAATAAGAATGTTGTTTGGAAATTCCAGGCCTTTTTTGAATATATTAATTCTTGAAGTTGCACTGTGGTAAGCGAGAGAGGCTTGGCCAGCAAAAGCCACATTCCATAAGACTGTAGGGATTATCTAATTTTATGCATCCATACTTTTGCCTGGGCATCCAAGAAATGCTGAGCTAAAAGTAATGTCTTAGTGTGTCTGGAATTGGTGGGTTCTTGGTCTCACTGACTTCAAGAATGAAGCCGCGGACCCTCGCGGTGAGTGTTACAGCTCTTAAGGTGGCGCATCTGGAGTTTGTTCCTTCTGATGTTCGGATGTGTTCGGAGTTTCTTCCTTCTGGTGGGTTCGTGGTCTCGCTGGCTCAGGAGTGAAGCTGCGGACCTTCACAGTGAGTGTTACAGCTCTTAAGGCGGCACGTCTGGAGTTGTTCTTCCTCCCGGTGGACTCGTGGTCTCGCTGGCTTCAGGAGTGAAGCTGCAGACCTTCGCGGTAAGTGTTACAGCTCATAAAAGCAGTGTAGACCCAGAGTGAGCAGCAGTTAAGATTTACTGCAAAGAGCAAAAGAACAAAGCTACCACAGTGTGGAACGGGACCCCAGCGGGTTCCCACTGCTGGCTCGGGCAGCCTGCTTTTATTCTCTTATCCGGCCCCACCCACATCCTGCTGATTGGTAGAGCCAAGTGGTCTGTTTTTGATAGGGCGCTGATTGGTGCGTTTACAGTCCCTGAGCTAGACACAAAGGTTCTCCACTTCCCCACCAGATTAGATAGATACAGAGTGTGGACACAAAGGTTCTCCAAGGCCCCACCAAAGTAGCTAGATACAGAGTGTCGATTGGTGCATTCACAAACCCTGAGCTAGACACAGGGTGTTGATTGGTGTGTTTACAAACCTTGAGCTAGATACAGAGTGCTGATTGGTATATTTACAATCCCTGGGCTAGACATAAAGGTTCTCCACGTCCCCACCAGATTCAGGAGCCCAGCTGGCTTCACCCAGTGGATCCCGCACCGGGGCTGCAGGTGGAGCTGCGTGCCAGTCCCGCGCCGCACGCCCACACTCCTCGGCCCTTGGGTGGTTGATGGGACTGGGCTCCGTGGAGCAGGGGGTGGCGCTCGTCGGGGAGGCTCGGGCCGCACAGGAGCCCATGGAGGGGGTGGGAGGCTCAGGCATGGCGGGCTGCAGGTCCGGAGCCCTGCCCCGCGGGAAGGCAGCTAAGGCCCGGTGAGAAATTGAGCGCAGCGCCGGTGGGCTGGCACTGCTGGGGGACCCAGTACATCCTCCGCAGCCGCTGGCCTGGGCGATAAGTCCCTCATTGCCCGGGCCGGCAGGGCCGGCCGGCTGCTCCGAGTGCGGGGCCCGCCAAGCCCACGCCCACCCGGAACTCCAGCTGGCCCGCAAGCGTCGCAGGCAGCCCAGGTTCCCGCTCGCGCCTCTCCCTCCACACTTCCCTGCAAGCTGAGGGAGCCGGCTCCGGCCTTGGCCAGCCGAGAAAGGGGCTCCCACAGTGCAGCGGTGGGCTGAAGGGCTCCTCAAGTGCCGCCAAAGTGGGAGCCCAGGCAGAGGAGGCGCCGAGAGCGAGCGAAGGCTGTGAGGACCGCCAGCATGCTGTCACCTCTCAATAGGAAATAAAGAAGCTTGGGGTTTTGGTCCATCCTTTCAGTTTTTAAAAGTTTTGCTAATATGCCAGCATCAAACTAAATACTTTAATTTTCACAACAACCCGAGGATATAGGTACAATTGTTTACATGTTTTAGTTTACATGTAAGAGACAGGGACTAAGAGAGGTTAATTTTCCTAGAGGTCCCTGACTTCAAATCCTGTTGTTTATAATATTACCTCTACTACATAGCTTTTAATTTCTGACTTCTATTTTTAAAGAGTTATTATTTCATCTTTTACTCTGTGCTGCTCAATTCCTTTTAGGAAGTGAAAATGGTATCAATTATAAATAAATGTTTCCAAGACAAATCAAAGATAGAAAACACAGGTAGGCAATTGATGAAGTAGGCCTGGACATCAAATGCACTTACATGAAAATACAACCTATGGAAACAATTGTCAGTCAAATGCCTAATATGTACTGCCACAAGCTATGTTATTTATGGAAAACGATATGGCACCTATTTTCTATCCAAAATAGCATGTAGGGCTCCTATGAGATACCTAAGAGTGAGATTTTTAAAAAGGAGAAACTTGATAAGTGAAATATATATACAAAGTCTGAAAAGACTGGAAATAGCTCTCAGATTCTGTCCCCTGAATATGACAGTATCTAGAAGGGCCATCTGCCTTATCCATCTTCTTACTTGGCTGGTGACAAAAATGATATCATCTCATTTTTTCTGCTTAAGACCCTGATCCCTTCTAAAATAAAAATAGTCCTGGGAGGGCTAACAAAGTTCTATCTGTCATTGAGAACGTGATGATGATGACATTCCACCTCTCAGAACACAGCAGGCAGAAATAGGCATGAGACACCAAGTGACTCAATTTAGAGACAGGAAAGAGCCAGTTCTCAATTTTGCCTGGAGTAAGCTCAGAGATACCTTTGCCCTGTTTGAGCTGACATTCTTCAATCCTTAGGCCTTCTATGAAAATAAGTCAATGTTTTTAGAAAGCTAAAGTCCTCTTATTCGCACAGCAAACTGCTGCCAATAACCTTAGTTGTGAGGAAGATGAACACAGTCATTTGCCTTTTTTCTATTGTGACATATTATTAGATGTTTTGCAGATTGACTGGAAAGGGCAATTCTACAGTAGTGGCCACAGATGTTATTGCATCCAGTTATTCTGCTACATCTGGCTCAAAAAAAAAAGGTCACTAAATGGCAACATAAATGCACTTCAGCAGATTTGTTTAGAGTAAGTTTTAGGTGGATTTCCCACAAATCCACCTATGATTGAAAAAGGAGAAACAATTGAAAGATAATACATTGAAGTACTTTACAGGAATAAAATAATTGGAGCATAGCTTCAAGAACTTTCACAACTGACAAGTAGACCCATAAGTAAGAAAAATCACTGTTTGTTGTTTTAAGTCACTGAGAAATACTGCAGTTGTTACACAGTGTTACTGGAAAACAATAGAAAGAATCAAGAAAACCAAAAATTGGTTATTTGAAAAGATCAACAAAATTGACAAACTTTTAACTAGACTGACTAAGGAGAGAAGATGAAACTAACTAAAACCATAAATTAAGGCAAGAATATTACTACCAACTTTATAGAAATTAAAATAAGAGAATAATATGAACAATTATATGCTGTGATAAGTATGTGTATATATGTGTGCATGTATATGTTTGTATATACATACATGTGTGTTTATGTGTGTATGTGTATATGTGTGTATATATGTGTGGACGTATGTGTATATTTGTATATACACACATATGTGTATGTATGTACGTTTTTGCATATATGTGTGTATATATACACATACACATGTCTGCATATACATACATATGTGTATGTGAATATGCACACACATATACACACATACATGCACACATATATACACACATACACATGCACATATATACACACATACACACACATACACACACATATGCACACACGCACATATATATGTATTATATATATAATATATATGTGCGTGTGTGTATATATATGTTTCACCCATGGTTCCTGGCTCATAACTCTCATAGCCCTTGTTATAATAAATAGAATCTCTTTCTCTTACCTTCTAGCAGAAAGGGTCTTGCCTCATACCCCAAAGGAAGGAATGCTACACAGAGAGGCCAAAACGAATCTGGACAGGTCTTGCTAGGTTTAGAGCATGGCTTTTTTGTCCGATCACATTTTGACATGGTTGCCCATGCTTCAGTCATGCCTACATAATGAAGCTTCTATAAAAACTCAAAAGGACTGGGTTCAGAGAGTTTCTGAATAGCTGAACACATGGAGGTTCCTAGAGGGTGATGCACCCAGAGAGGGCATATAAGCTCCCCACCTATTCTCTCTTTCCTCACTCTATGCATCTCTTTATCTGCATCCTTTGTAACAGCCTTTATAATAAAAGGGTAAACATAAGTGTTTCCCTGAGTTCTGTGAGCTGCCCCAGCAAATTCATCTACTCCAAAAAGGAGATCATAGGAATCCAAACTTGAATTCAGTCAGTCAGAAGTTCTGGAGACTTAGACTTGCAATTGGGGTCTGATGGGGCCTGAGGTTTTGGGGACTGAGCCCTCAATCTGTGAGAGACCTGACAATATCTCCAGGTAGATAGTGATGAAATTGAACTGGAGGACACCCAGTTGATGTCTGCTGCAGAATCAATTGCTCACTTGGTGGTGGGGAGAACCCCACCCCGTACATTTGATCACAGAAGTATTATTCTGTGTTGATGATTATTGTGGTATGAGAGCAGACGAAAAGCAGTTTGAGTTTTTTCCAAATATATGCCAACAAATTAAATCTAGATGAAGTGGGCAAATTCTTAGAAACACAAATTACCAAAATAGACTCAAAAAGAAATAGGAACCCTCAATAGACCTATAACAAAGAACAGATTGAATCAGTAATCAAAAACCTTCAGAGAAAGGCAAATCCAGGACCAGACAATTTCACTAGTGAAGACTATCAAATATTTAAAAAGGAATGAACACCAGTACTAGTCAAGCTCTTCCAAAAAAATGACAAGGAAGGAATACTTCTTAAAACATTTTATGAGGCCAACATTCCCTGATACCAAAGCCATACAGAGAAACCACTAGAAAACTATAGACCACTGTCTCTTATTAATATAGATGCAAAATCCTCAAAAAAATACTAGCAAACAAAATCCAACATAACATTAAAAGAATTACACACCATGACCAAGTGGGATTTATCTCAGGAATGCAAAGATGGTTCAACATTTAAAAAATCAATACACTATATTAATAGAACTTCAAACAAAGTGAAAAAACCACATGGTGATCTTAACAGATACAGAATATGCACTTTACAAAATGCTGCACCCTTTTATGATAAAAGCACTCACCAAATTAGGACTAGAAGAGAGCTTCCTTAACGTGATAAATGGTATATGTGAAAAACCCATGCTACCATTATACTCAAAGGTGAAAAAATGAAAGATTAGGATTAGGAAAAAGAAAAGAATACCCACTTTTGCCACTGCTATTAAACATTGTACTGGAAATCTTAGCCAAGCATTTAGGCAAGAAAAAGAAATAAAAGTCATCCAAGTTGGAAATAAAGAAATAAAGCTATCTATATTTTCAAATGACATATTCTATATATAGAAAATTACAAATACACACACACAACACACAAACTACTAATGCTAATAAATGGGCTGGGCAGGGTGGCTCACGCCTGTAATCCCAGCACTTTGGGAGGCTGATGCAGTTGGATCACCTGAGGTCAGGAGTTTGAGACCAGCCTGGCCAACATGTTGAAACCCTATCTCTACTAAAAATATAAAAACTAGCTGGGTGTGGTGGTGGGCACCTGCAATCCCAGCTACTCGGGAGGCTGAGGCAGGAGAATCACTTGAACCCAGGAGACGGAGGTTACAGTGAGCTGACACAATGCCACCGCACTCCAGCCTCAATGACAGAGTAAGACTCCACCTCAGAAAATAGATAGATAGATTGATAGATAGATAAAAATAAGCAAAGTTGCAGGGTACAAGAACAACATATAAAATCAGCTATCTTTTTGTACACCAGTAATAAACAATCTGACAAAAATATTAAGTGAACAATTCCATTTACATTAACATCCAAAGAATAAAACACCTGGAAATAAATTTAACCAAGGAAGTGAAAGGCTTGACCACTGAGACCTATAGGATATTGTTGAAAGAAATCAGAGACAATATTAAGAGAAGACAGCCCATGTTAATGGATTGAAAGCTTTAATATTGTTAAGATGGAAATACTCCCCAAAAGGATCGACAGATTCAATATAATCCCATTCAAAATTCTAATGGCTTTTATTGCAGAAATAGAAAATATGATCCTCAAATTCACATGAAATTGTAAGGCACCCTGAATAGCCAAAATAATCCTCAAAAAGAAGAATAAAGATGAAGGACTCATACATCTCAATTTCAAAATTTACTGCAAAATTTACAGTAATCAAAATAGTGTGGTACTTTCATGAGGATAGACATATAAACCAACAGAACTGCAGTCCAGAAATAAAACCAATATCTATGGCCAATTGATTTTTGACAATGCTTCCAAGACCATTCAATGGGGAAAGAATAGTCTCTTCAATAAATGGTGCTTTGGCAACTGGATAACCACTTGCAAAAGAATAAAGTTGAACCCCTACCTCATACATAAAAAGTAATTCCAAATGGATCAGAAACCCAAATATAAGAGCTAAAACTATAAAACTCTCAGGAGAAAATGTAGAGTAAATCTTCACAATTTGGCAATAGATTCTTGGATATGACACCAAAAACAACAAAAAGAAAAAAATAGATAAATGGGACTTTATCTACATTAAAAAAAATAAAATTGACACTTTCAAGAAAATGATAGACAACCTACAAAATGAGATAAAACATCTGTGAATCATATACCTGATTAGGGCCTAGTATCCAAAATATTGAAAGAACACTTTCAACAAAAGACAAAAATTCCAATTAAAAAATGGGCAATGCATTACTGGGTATATATGCAAAGGATTATAAATCATTCTACTATAAAGACACATGCACACATATGTTTACTGCCACACTATTTACAATAGCAAAGACTTGCAAGCAACACAAATGCCCATCAATGATAGAATGAATAAAGAAAATGTGGGTTCCAAGATGGCCGAATAGGAACAGCTCCAGTCTACAGCTCCCAGCGTGAGCGACACAGAAGTTGGGTGATTTCTGCGTTTCCAACTGAGATACCGGGTTCATCTCACTGGGACTTCTCAGACAGTGGGTGCAGGACAGTCAGTGCAGCCCACCGAGCGTGAGCCAAAGCATGGCGAGGCATCACCTCACCCAGGAATCGCAAGTGGTCAGGGAATTCCCATTCCTAGCCAAGAGAAGCTGTGACAGATGGCAACTGGAAAATCGGGTCACTCCCACCCTAATACTGTGCTTGTTCAACGGTCTTAGCAAACAGCACACCAGGAGATTATATTCCGCACATGGCTCGGAGGGTCCCACGCCCATGGAGACTCACTCATTGCTAGCACAGCAGTCTGAGATCAAACTGCAAGGCAGCAGTGAGGCTGGGGGAGGGGCACCCACCATTGCTGAGGCTTGAGTAGGTAAACAAAGCAGCTGGGAAGCTCGAATTGCGTGGAGCCCACTGCAGCTCAAGGAGGCCTGCCTGCCTCTGTAGACTCCACCTCTGGGGGCAGGGCATAGCCGAACAAAAGGCAGCAGAAACCTCTGCAGACTTAAATGTCCCTGTCTGACAGCTTGGAAGACAGTAGTGGTTCTCCCAGCACGGAGTTTGAGATCTGAGAACAGTCAGATTGCCTCCTCAAGTGGGTCCATGACCCCCAAGTAGCCTAACTGGGAGGCACCACCCAGTAGGGGCAGACTGACACCTCACATGGCAGGTACTCCTCTGAGATGAAGCTTCCAGAGGAACGATCAGGCAGCAATATTTGCTGCTCAGCAGTATTCGCTGTTCTGCAACCTCCACTGCTGATACCCAGGCAAACAGGGTCTGGAGTGGACCTCCAGCAAACTCCAACAGACCTGCAGCTGAGGGTCCTGTCTGTTAGAAGGAAAACTAACAAACAGAAAGGACATCCACACCAAAACCCCATCTGTACGTCACCATCATCAAAGACCAAAGGTAGATAAAACCACCAAGATAGGGAAAAAACAGCAGAAAAGCTGAAAATTCTAAAAATCAGAGCGCCTCTCCCCCTCCAAAGGAACACAGCTCCTCACCAGCAACGAAACAAAGCTGGACAGAGAATGACTTTAACAAGTTGAGGGAAGGCTTCAGATGATCAAACTTCTCCGAGCTAAAGGAGGAATTTCGAACCCATCACAAAGAAGCTAAAAACCTTGAAAAAAGATTAGATGAATGGCTAACTGGAATAACCAATGAAGAGAAGGCCTTAAATGACTTCATGGAACTGAAAACCATGGCATGAGAACTACGTGACAAAGGCACAAGCTTCAGTAGACGATTCGATCAAGTGGAAGAAAGGGTATCAGTGATTGAAGATCAAATTAATGAAATGAAGTGAGAAGAGAAGTTTAGAGAAAAAGAGTAAAAAGAAACAAACAAATCCTCCAAGAAATATGGGACTATGTGAAAAGACCAAATCTACGTCTGATTGGTGTACCTGAAAGTGACGGGGAGAATGGAACCAAGTTGGAAAACAGTCTGCAGGATATTATCCAGGAGAACTTCCCCAACCTAGCAAAGCAGGCCAACATTCAAATTCAGGAAATACAGAGAACACCACAAAGATACTCCCTGAGAAGAGCAACTGCAAGACACATAATTGTCAAATTCACCAAAGTTGAAATGAAGGAAAAAATGCTAAGGGCAGCCAGAGAGAAAGGTCGGGTTACCCATCAGAAACTTCCAAAGGGAAGCCCACCAGACTGACAGTGGCTCTCTCAGCAGAAACTCTACAAGCCAGAAGAGAGTGGGGGCCAATATTCAACATTCTTAAAGAAAAGAATTTTCAACCCAGAATTTCATATCCAGCCAAACTAAGCTTCATAAGTGAAGGACAAATAAAATCCTTTACAGACAAGCAAATGCTGAGAGATTTTGTCACCACCAGGCCTGACCTCAAGAGCTCCTGAAGGAAGCACTAAACATGGAAAGGAACAACCGGTACCAACCACTGCAAAAACATGCCACGTTGTAAAGACCATCAAGGCTAGGAAGAAACTGCATCAACTAACGAGCAAAATAACCAGCTAATATCATAATGACAGGATCAAATTCACACATAACAATATTAACCTTAAATGTAAATGGGCTAAATGCTCCAATTAAAAGACACAGACTGGCAAATTGGATAAAGAGTCAAGAACCATCAGTGTGCTGTATTCAGGAGACCCATCTCACGTGCAGAGACACACATAGGCTCAAAATAAAGGGGTGGAGGAAGATCTACCAAGCAAATGGAAAACAAAAAAAGGCAGGGGTTGCAATCCTAGTCTCTGATAAAACAGACTTTAAACCAACAAAGATCAAAAGAGACAAAGAAGGCCATTACATAATGGTAAAGGGATCAATTCAACAAGAAGAGCTAACTATCCTAAATATATATGCACCCAATACAGGAGCACCCAGATTCATAAAGCAAGTCTTTAGAGACCTACAAAGAGACTTAGACTCCCACACAATAATAATGGGAGACTTTAACACCCCACGTCAACATTAGACAGATCAACGAGACAGAAAGTTAACAAGGATATCCAGGAATTGAATTCAGCTCTGCACCAAGCAGACCTAATAGACATCTACAGAACTCTCCACCCCAAATTAACAGAATATACATTCTCTCAGCACCACATCACACTTATTCGAAAATTGACCACATAGTTGGAAGTAAAGCACTGCTCAGCAAATATCAAAGACTAGAAATTATAATAAACTGTCTCTCAGACCACAGTGCAATCAAACTAGAACTCAGGATTAAGAAATTCACTCAAAACCGCTCAACTACATGGAAACTGAGCAACCTGATCATGAATGACTACTGGGTGCATAACGAAATGAAGGCAGAAATAAAGATGTTCTTTGAAACCAATGAGAACAAAGACACAACATACCAGAATCTCTGGGACACATTTAAAGCACTGTGCAGAGGGAAATTTGTAGCACTAAATGCCCACAAGAGAAAGTGGGAAAGATCCAAAATTGAAACCCTAACATCACAATTAAAAGAACTAGAGAAGCAAGAGCAAACACATTCAAAAGCCAGTAGAAGGCAAGAAATAACTAAGATCAGAGCAGAACTGAAGGAGATAGAGACTCAAAAACCTTTCAAAAAATCAATGAATCCAGGAGCTGGATTTTTGAAAAGATCAACAAAATTGATAGACCGCTAGCAAGAATAATAAAGAAGAAAAGAGAGAAGAATCAAATAGACACAATAAAAAATGATAAAGGGGATATCACCACTGATCCCACTGACATACAAACTACCATCAGATAATACTATAAACATCTCTACACAAATAAACTAGAAAATCTAGAAGAAAGGGATAAATTCCTGGACACATACACCCTCCCAAGACTAAACCAGGAAGAAGTTGAATCCCTGAATAGACCAATAACAGGCTCTGAAATTGAGGCAATAATTAATAGCCTGCCAACCAAAAAAAGTCCAGGACCAGATGGGTTCACAGCCGAATTCTACCAGAGGTACAAGGAGGAGCTGGTACCATTCCTTCTGAAACTATTCCAATCAATAGAAAAAGAGGGAATCCTCCCTAACTCATTTTATGAGGCCAGCATCATCCTGACACCAAAGCCGGGCAGAGACACAACAAAAAAAGAGAATTTTAGACCAATATCCTTGATGAACATCAATGCAAAAATCCTCAATAAAATACTGGCAAACCAAATCCAGCAGCACATCAAAAAGCTTATCCACCATGATCAAGTGGGCTTCATCCCTGGGATGCAAGGCTGGTTCAATATACGCAAATCAATAAACGTAATCCAGCATATAAACAGAACCAAAGACAAAAACCACGTGATTATCTCAATAGATGCAGAAAAGGCCTTTGACAAAATTCAACCGCCCTTCATGCTAAAAACTCTCAATAAATTAGGTATTGATGAGACGTATCTCAAAATAATAAGAGCTATTTATGACAAACCTACAGCCAATATCATACTGAATGGGCAAAACCTGGAAGCATTCACTTTGAAAACTGGCACAAGACAGGGATGCCCTCTCTCACCACTCCTATTCAACATAGTGTTGGAAGTTCTGGCCAGGGCAATCAGGCAGGAGAAAGAAATAAAGGGTATTCAATTAGGACAAGAGGACATCAAATTGTCCCTGTTTGCAGATGACATGATTGTATATTTAGAAAACCCCATTGTCTCAGCCCAAAATCTCCTTAAGCTGATAAGCCACTTCAGCAAAGTCTCAGGATACAAAATCAATGTGCAAAAATCACAAGCATTCTTATACACCAATAACAGACAAACAGAGAGCCAAATCATGACTGAACTCCCATTCACAATCGCTTCAAAGAGAATAAAATACCTAGGAATCCAACTTACAAGGGATGTGAAGGGCCTCTTCAAGGAGAACTACAAACCACTGCTCAAGGAAATAAAAGAGGACAGAAACAAATGGAAGAACATTCCATGCCCATGGATAGGAAGAAACAACATCGTGAAAATGGCCATAGTGCCTGAGGTAATTTAGAGATTCAATGCCATCCCCATCAAGCTACCAATGACTTTTTTCACAGAATTGGAAAAAAACTACCTTAAAGTTCATATGGAACCAAAAAAGAGCCCGCATCGCCAAGACAATGCTAAGCCAAAAGAACAAAGCTGGAGGCATCACGCTACCCGACTTCAAACTCTACTACAAGGCTACAGTAACCAAAACAGCATGGTACTGGTACCAAAACAGAGATACAGACCAATGGAACAGAACAGAGCCCTCAGAAATAATACCACACATCTAAAACCATCTGATCTTTGACAAACCTGACAAAAACAAGAAATGGGGAATATTTAACAAATGGTGCTGGGAAAACCGGCTAGCCGTATGTAGAAAGCTGAAACTGGATCCCTTCCTTACACCTTATACAAAAATTAATTCAAGATGGATTAAAGACTTACATGTTAGACCTAAAACCATAAAAACCCTAGAAGAAAACCGAGGCAATACCATTCAGGACATAGGCATGGGCAAGGACTTCATGTCTAAAACACCAAAAGCAATGGCAACAAAAGCCAAAATTGACAAATGGGGCCTAATTAAACTAAAGAGCTTCTGCAAAGCAAAAGAAACTACCATCAGAGTCAATAGGCAACCTACGGAATGGGAGAAAATTTTTGCAATCTACTCATCTGACAAAGGGCTAATATCCAGAATCTACAAAGAACTCAAACAAATTTACAAGAAAAAAATAAACAACCCCATCAACAAGTGGGCAAGGGATATGAACAGACACTTCTCAAAAGAAGACATTTATGCAGCCAACAGACACATGAAAAAATGCTCATCATCACTGGCCATCAGACAAATGCAAATCAAAACCACAGTGAGATACCATCTCACACCAGTTAGAATGGCGATCATTAAAAAGTCAGGAAACAACAGGTGCTGGAGAGGATGTGGAGAAATAGGAACACTTTTACACTGCTGGTGGGACTGTAAACTAGTTCAACCATTGTGGAAGACAGTGTGGCTATTCCTCAAGGATCTAGAACTAGAAATACCATTTGACCCAGCCATCCCATTACTGGGTATATACCCAAAGGATTATAAATCATGCTGCTATAAAGACATGCACACGTATGTTCATTGAGGCACTATTCACAATAGCAAAGACTTGGAACCAACCCAAATGTCCATCAGTGATAGACCTTATTAAGAAAATGTGGCACATATACACCATGGAATACTATGCAGCCATAAAAAATGATGAGTTCATGTCCTTTTTAGGGACATGGATGAAGCTGGAAACCATCTTTCTCAGCAAACTATCGCAAGGACAAAAAACCGAACACCGCATGTTCTCACTCATAGGTGGGAATTGAACAATGAGAACACTTGGACACAGGAAGGGGAACATCACACACCGGGGCCTGTCGTGGGGTGCGGGGAGGCGGGAGGGATAGCATTAGGAGATATACCTAATGTAAATGACGAGTTAATGGGCGCAGCACACCAACATGGCACATGTATACATATGTAACAAACCTGCATGTTGTGCACATGTACCCTAGAACTTAAAGTATAATTTAAAAAAAAAAAGAAAATGTGGCACATATACACCATGGAATACTACGCAGCCATAAAAAAGAATGAGTTCATGTCCTTTGCAGGGACATGGATGAAGCTGGAAACCATCATTCTCAGCAAACTAACACAGGAACAGAAAACCAAACATCACATGTTCTCACTCATAAGTGGGAGCTGAACAATGAGAACACACGGACACAGGGGAGGGGAATATCACACACCAGGGCCTGTCAGGGGGTGGGGGGCAAGGGTAAGGATAGCATTAGGAGAAATACCTATTGTAGATGACGGGTTCATGGGTGCAGCAAACCACCATGGCACATGTATACCTATATAACAAATCTGCACACTCTGTACATGTATCCCAGAACTTAAAGTATAATACTTTAAAAAATGGGCAATGGACATGAACATATATTTCATGTACAAATAACCAAAAAGCCCACAAAAGGTTAATCAACTTAATTGGTCATTAAGGAAATGCAAATCAAAACATAATGAGATACCACTTCACCCACATTGGAATAGCTATAATAGACAAAAAAATAAATAAATAAATAAAGGAAATAACAAGTGCTGCCGAAGATGTAGAGAAACAGGCACCTTCATGCATTGCTGGTGGTAATGTGAAACGGTGCAGCCACTGGAAAACAGCTTGGCAACTCCTCAAAATGTTAAACATAGAATTATCTTATGATCCAGCAATTCTACTTCTAGGTATATATCTAAAAGAAATGAAAACATATGAACACCAAACATGAATGTTTATAGCAGCATTTTTCGTAACAGCCGAAAGGTAGGAACTACCCAAATGTTCATCATTGGATGAATGGATAAACAAATTGTGCCATATACATACAATGGAATATTATTCAGCCATAAAAAGGAACAAAATACTGCTACATGCTACAAGTTGGATGAATCTGGAAACAATTATGAATTGCTCACTTTAAAATGGTAAACTGTATGTTGTGTGAATTTCACCTCAATAAATATGGTCATATCATTACAGAGATGAAGATAGCTGGTAAACAGTGGTTGCTTCTAGAGACTAGGAGTTGGAGCGGGGGAGAGATTCCCAGTAGGGAACTATCACTTCCTATTTTAAGTCTTTGCATATGTTTATTGATTGATTTCCATATTTCCATATTTTTATTTTAACTCTGTGCATGTATTACTTCAGTGAAAAAAGTTTTAATTATTTTTAAAAGACAAGTGTTCCAGGATGCTGGAAGTACTGGCAGTTCTCTGTGGATCCTCAGGAAACACCTGAGAATGAGCCCTTCTTTTACACACATAGAATAACCACTCTCCAGAAATCTCTGCAGAAGTGAAATCCAAGGTTGGCATTTGGCAGGCAGGGGAATGTAAATGCCAGATTGTGAGCTGGAATTCAAGAGGTTGCTGAAATGAGATCCCCGAAGCTTTTGTCCCATGGTGACCACCCAGCTCCAGCTGCTGAATTCATCATGTCATCATCCTCACTGTGAGTCTGGATTCCTTCCTGATGTTCCATTAGGTGTCCTCTTGTAGCGTCTTTTGAGCCTGTTCCAAAACTCATCTCAACACTTTCTGGATAATAAACTACACATCCAATCCATCAGCAAGACTTGCCAGTTTTACTTCCAGAATGTGTGTCCAGCGGGCTCTGTTTTCACCATCTTCACTATCAATTCTTACCACCACTGCCACCACAAAACCAAATTGTTTATATTGGGACAAGTGCAGAAGCCCCTAAGCGCTGCCCCTCCATCCACACTTACCTCCAGCTCAGTCTCCGTTCACCAACCACAGTGATGCTTTAATAAAATCGTTATGTCACACTCTTGCTTGAAACCTTTCAATGGATCCCTCTTACTCTTCAAATATTCCCAAATTCTACCCGTAGCTGACAAGGCCCCACATTATTTGGCCCTCTCCAGTTTATTGTCTCTCTCTTTCTTGGCCTTCTCTTTTTTTCCTACTCACCCCAGGACCATCACACACGCTCTTCAACCCTCCGGGATGCAGGGCATCCCACAAACACCGACCCTGTTCTCCCCTGGCTGACTCCTTCATGTCCTAGGTGGAAAGGCACACGGTATGGAGACGCTAGCCCCCACCCCAACCAGCTCAGGTTTACCTGCTGCTCAATCTACTGCTTTTCCTTAGTAACAGCCTGATATTAATTAAATCGTATTTAATTATTAGTCTGATTTCTCTCTCTTTCACTAGACTATACACTCCATGAATAAGGGTAAGGACTGAGGCCATTTGTGAACTACTGTTCTTCACCCCTTAACACAGGGTTTGACACATAGTAGATGCATCAGAGATGCAACTGAATTAATGAATGCATGAGTAAATGAGTAAAGATTATTTCTCTCTCTTAAGGAAAAAGACATTTGTGGTTGAATGTCTACTACATTTACAAGTTAAATTAAAATTTTTATTTATAAGCTGCTTATAAATCTTAACCAGGATGAATAAAGGCATATATCGCAATGCCTAAAGGTAGGAAACTCATTAAAAATGAGGAAGAACACTTTAAAATAGGACTCTCACAATTGTGTGCACCAGTGCATCTGTTCCAATTACAAATCACCAGTTTGAGAAAGTGGCAAGTAATTCTGATGCAAGTATTTTTAATAAAGAACTTATTCAAAAATGTTAAAACCCAAGGTAACAATACTTCCGGACTTCAGAGCACAGTGACATCATTAACGCAAGGTTAGGTCACAAAGCCCTCAGTGAGTTTCGGTGTGATTTTAAGTAATTCAAGGAGCTGCTTTATTATTCTGGTTGGTCACTCAGAATGCTACACATGTAAAGCAAAGTGGCAAGTTCCCATAGCAATGCCTTTTTACCAGAAGCGTTTACCGTTATGGCTCCCTCATCTTTTCGTGGTCTGAATTCTTCCTGATTCAGTCAGACTGCAGCTACGTATTAGCCTTAAATTAGAATTTGACAAGAATTTGTGATGCTAACTTTCCAGAGGAGAAATACTGAGCCCTGGGTGTGCAGCCAGGGCAGCTCTAGGATGGGGCACAAGCCCACTGTGTCACTCACACCTTCTGCCACGTGTGCCCCTGAACCATGTTATATTTGCATCATGTACATTTTGGAATGTTTTTATGTCTCCCCAAAGTCAGGAATTAGGAGTTGCAGACCCTCACCTCTCCATATGTGGAGAAACCAATTTTCAGAAGGTTGAAGTGTCTTGTCCACAATATCAAATCCAGTTCTGGAGCTAGGACCTTCAGCTTATTCATTTATTAAGCCAATATGTAATGGGTGCCTACTGTTTCCAGGCACTATTCTAAGTTCTCAGGAACACATCAGTTTTTTTTGTTTGTTTGTTTTAAAGACAACTATTTTTGCTTTCATGGAGTTTATGTTCTAGCAGAAAAATATGCAGGTTGTAATTTTTTTTTTTGACATCAAATTATTTTGAATTTTATTTGAATACAGAATTCCATGGTTAATAAATAAAATTATCTTAATAAATTTTCAATTTTTAGATTCTAGAAATCCTAGATTTTCAATTTATGATGGAGAAGTGCAATAGAATACTTTTTAAATTTTAAATAGGGAGGTCAAGATAGGCCTCCATGAGAAGAAGACATTTGAGTAAAGAGGTGCGAGAATTGCCCTGAGAAGGTCTCTGGAGGCCCACCCAAGCAGAGCCGTAAGGCCCTAGTTCAGACATAATAACTGAGGGCTGGGAATGAGGATTACTGACAGTGAAGTTGGCGGAAAAAGAACCTGCTAGACACATATTTTGGAAGTAGAGCTGACTTGTCTCGCCGATTAACTGGACTGGTGGTTTGCGCTTTCTCCAGAAGGTGTAGAGATGATTTTTGAAACAGGTTCAAGGCACTAGATGGAGACACCTGATGAAACATCACTAATGAATCCGTCTCAGGCCAACATTGAGCTGTTTGATGGCTGAGAAAAAGAAGGAAGACTTTGCTGAGTAGAAAGAGAGAGGGAGAGAGTCTTAATAGGGGAGGCCAAAGAAGGAAGAGGAGCTAAGACTGCAGAGCCTTGTAAGCCACTAGAAACCCTGTGGCTTTTATTCTAAGGGAAATGAGGGGCCAGTAGAGAGTTCTGACAGAGAGATGCATGGTCTGCCATTGGTGTTCACCAGGCTGCTAGGTTGATGTCAGTCTGTCAAGGACAAGCATGGAATAGGAAATCCAGTGGGAGGCTGCTACAGCAATCCAAGCTTGAGATGATGGCGACTTGGACCAACATGTTGGCAATGGAGGTGATGAGAAGTGGTCAGAATTCAGACGTATTGTGTATTATGGAGACAAAGGCAACAGAATGTGCTGATGGGTTGGATGTGAGAGAAAGAGAGGAATCAGGGATAGCCATAACGTTTTTGGCCTGAGCAACTAGAAGCATGGCACTGCCAAGCACCGAGGGGGATAAACTGAGTGGGCAGGTTAGGGAAGGAGGAACAGGAGGTCAGTTTTAGATCAGTTAAGGTTAAGATGCCTGCCTGAGAGATGTCCAGGATACTGTTGGATGTACAAGTCTGGGCTTCTGCAGGCACTTTCCGGCTGAAATGCTAATTCCTGGTACAGTGCTCATCTAAGCTTGCTGTACTTCTCCATAGCCATAGCTTGGATTTCTCCAGATTGAGAAGCACAGTGGTGAAGCTAAATTGTGCTGCTCTCAAATCTGCACTGGCCTTATTTCCGAGAAAAATAACCAGTCATCCTGCATTTCACCTAAGAAGACCTTCAATCAAGGAGACTCCCGCCCGTCTTAGTATGGCAGAAACCCAACTGCAGAACTTCAGACACAGTGAGAAATGGAACTTCATACGCTTGCACTGTAATTGAATATGGTTCCATTTCTCCAATATCTATAGTATATTTAATCATTTTCCTACTCTATCAGGAGGATGAAATTTTGTTTTTTATATCCTTGTAAGACAAAATTGTAAAAGTCTGGGTAAGATCAAAAGTAGCTGAGTTGATCCAAAAGAGCCACACTCAATGCATCTAAATAACCTCGTCTTTGGTTAACAAGGAATCGATGCCAGTGGAATGATCATATTTTAAAACCTCCCCTATAAAATGTGACATATGCATCCCCATGTGTCAGTGTAATCTCTGCTGAAAATATTTCAGTGAATGACGAGTTGATTGGCCCCAATTTGAAAAGCATAGTGTATAAAAACATAATTTCAGGGGGCCAACATTATGACAGATTCTATATTCTGCTCATACACAGAACTGGTTTGAACTGTTTTGAGAATTTTGATAGTCTGTAAATGCCTGCAGCCAAGAAACTTGGCCAGATCGGAGAAGGAGGAAACGGAAGGAAGGAAATTCACAACTGTTGGGCAACTATTCTCAGCCAGGCAATGCTTGAGAGAAAATGGCAGGGCAAGGGGACTGATAGATAATCATTTTCACCACCAAAGGAACAGCAGCATAGAGATGAAAAGAACACTGGTTTTGTAAATGCAGACCCCTCGTGCAAATCCCAGCTCTTTCTCTTACTGTGAGATGTCAAATTATGTCACTTATCTGACCCTTGACTTTTACATCTGTGAAAGGAGGGTAACAATAGATGCTTTCTAGGTAGCTATGAAAATTGAACTAGGTTTTATTTGCATACTCTCTCTCTCACACACGCACACAATGTGCTTGACTTATTTCTAATGTCAATGTATTACACATGGCATGTTAATAAGGCTCCAATATGATATGGAAGATATCTGAACCACACAGAAGGTATACACCACGCTTTAGAGGACCAAAGAAAAAATGAAAAATGCAGGTCATTTCTGCTAAGATGCCATACAGGGTATTGTCATTCAACAGCTTAGAGACTTGAAAGAATAAACAAAGCCCAACGCAGGTCTCTGTTTTCTGTCCACTATACATGTCAGCCACGTTGGAGCTCTCTCCTGTGGTCTCCTCATTCATTTTAGTTGAGCATATCTCAAAACCTATGGCCTCGTCAGTTAAAAGCCACCAAAAGAAATTCTGATTTAAAATGTATAAGGTATATCAGTGAAAAGGTTTCCTGATTATTTGGGGGAGTCGAAGACATAAAAAAAAAACTTTGTAAAAATTCCTCTGCAGTTTTCTATCAATAAACACCTTGCCTGGTATTAATGAGAAGCATCCGTAAGAGAAGTCTGCTCTGCAAACTGCTGATTCATAAGGGATTTTAATTCCTTTGTTACTTTTTTTTTGGCCTGCTGTGAAAACAGGAAGGATGAGGACCAATTCCAAATCCTGGATCACAGCAGAAAGTCCAGAAAAATGGATGGCATATGGAGGCTGGGGATTAAGCAGGAAGGTGAGAGGGTAGTGAGAATCAAAACCCTGGAGAGAGAGAGAGGAGGAAAGCCAAAAACGAAGGAAGTTGGCTTGCCGATCCCATCCCAAGGGGACCTTAACTTTCAAATGAGAATGGTGCCTCCGATTTGCTCTTTAAGCAAATATTGATTGGGTTTTTCAGAGTGACTCTAATGTGAGAAATTCTGTGACTCTGCTAGAAGCAAGAGTGGATAGATTGGCACCTTCTCCATTGAATTTGCCATCAAGCCAGATGAAGAAATAAACAATAACAAGTGAGGGGAGGAAAGTCATTGCTCAACTCTTCCTCAATTTTTTTTTTGCACCAGTCTTCTCTTGCATAACAAAATCATCTCAAGAAACAGCATCTGTTTTGGGGGAATTGAAGAAAGAAACCCAAAATTTGAGACTGCAGCATACTTGCTGAGTATGAAGTGCTTTCATTTGAAAACTCTGATCTACCTACATACTGGGAACCTCCTTGGGAAAGATGGGACACATCTTGTATGGCAAGGAGGACCTCCACTGTGACCCATGCAATGGCATGCACTGAGCAGAGGGACAGCTCAAAGCCACAAGCAGGGACACCACAGAGAGGTGCGCTGCAATAGGATCAAGGTCAAGGATACAGGTCTGTGGTGCTAGGGGCTCCAGCTTAATCCATGACCAGAGAAGGTGTTCAAAACCTGGGCTCTATGCAGTAAGGTCTCTGCCATGTAGCGTGGCCTCAAGCTGCCTCCTGCCTGGAAGAGGGAAGGAAGCACTTAGGCCAACTTTGCTGTGGGCCTTAATGGACAATACTCTTTGTCACTGGTACACTTTTCCTTGGTTTCATCTTTTCCTGACTCTTTTGTCATCAGAGAGTTAAGATTCAAGAGTAAGATCAGGTGTAAACTGAAGGAAAAGAAGTCACATATAGCCTGAGTCCCATGCCAGAGAGACAAGGGTAATCCCTGTGACTCATGTGTCCCAGCCCAGCCACACAGGACTCCCTACACACATGGAGCAATGCCCCATAAGGGGCATGGGAGAGAATCAGGGGGACTTCTCTTGGCAAGGAGGGGAATGTACACTTTTCACTTAGCAAACGAGCTGCATGCACACACACACACACAAGTGTGTATGTGTTTTCGTACTTTCCATATTTTCTACTACAAACATATTATTTTGACATCACAGAACCACAAGTGTTATAAAATGAAGATGAGCACCTAAAACACTTAGACCCTAAGGTATACTGACTTACTCAGCTAACCACACTCAACAATTTTTTGAATTATCACCTCTCCCACTGTTTCTGAGATTTGAACTGTTCAACAAACAAATGCTGCTCACTGTTCACTGTGAAATATTCATTTATTACCACTGGGTTCTGAAGCAGGTACAACCCATCTTCACATTAGCACATCCCTTACTATGGATCCATTGAAAAGCACTACATAGTTGCTTTTGTTTCATCCTACTTAAACCCTCTTAAAGCAAACGTCAAAAATTATTTCGTGAGTTTAAAAATGCACTGATGAGTATATACCCAAAACAATTGAAAACAGTGTTGCCAAGGGAGACAGTTGTACACCCATGTTCACAGAAGCATTGTTCACAATAGCCAAAGGTGGAAGCAACACAAGTGCCTGCTGACAGATGACCCAATAAACAAAATGTGATATATGCACACAATGAGAATTTTTCAACTTTTGAAAGGAAAAAGAATCTGACACATGCTACAACATGGATGAACCGTGCGGACATTATGCTAAGTGAAAAAATCCAGTCACAAAAAAAGACAGACACCGTATGAGTCCACTTGGATGAGGTACCTAGAGTAATCCCATTCACACAGACAGCAAGCAGAATGGTGGTTTCCAGGGCCCAGGGGTAAGGGCGAATCAGAAGTTTTGTATAATGGGTGCAGAGTTTCAGTTTTGCGAGATGAGAAGAGTGCCGGAGATTCATCGCACAACAATGTGAAGGTACTTAACACTACGAAACTGTATGCTCAAAAATGGTTACGATGGTAAATTTTATGTTATGTGTGTTTTGCCACAATTGAATTTTTTTTAATTTAAAATGTATCATACAGGGCCAGGTGCAGTGGCTTACACCTGTAGTCCCAGCTACTTGGGAGGCTGAGGTGGGAGAATTGCTTGAGCCCGGGTAGTCGAGGCTGCAGTGAGCCGTGACTGTGTTACCACACTCCAGCCTGGGTGACACAGCAAGACGTCGTCTCAAAAAATAAATAAAAGTAAAAATAAAATGTATTGGGCCGGGCTTGGTGGCTCATGCCTGTAATCCTAGCACTTTGGGAGGCCGAGGCGGGTGGATCACAAGATCAGGAGTTCGAGACCATCCTGGCCAACATGGTGAAACCTCGTCTCTACTAAAAATACAAAAATTAGCCGGGCGTGGTGGCACATGCCTGTAATCCCAGCTACTTGGGAGGCTGAGGCAGGAGAATCACTTGAACCCGGGAGGCGGAGGTTGCAGTGAGCCAAGATCACACCATTGCACTCCAGCCTGGACAACAAGAACAAGACTCTGTCTTAAAAAAATAATAAATAAATAAAATATATCATACAATCTATCATTCTGTTAAATGAAAAAGACTATAGGAAAGAGGTGAAATTTCAGCAGGTACGCTTGGCAAAGAGTGTGGCTGGGAGAACAGAAGTATTGGGAAGGGATTCAGAGGCAAAGGGAGCAACACTGAGAAATCCATCTGGAATCCACTGGCATGCTGCCAATCAATTCTTGATAGAGTGAGCGTCTCTAAGGGCTAGGGACGTCCTTGTGTGAAAGTACTGTCAGCAGAATGCTAGCTAGGACTGGAGGGGAAAAGGCTCTTGAGGTAGTGAGGGTCTTGAAGCTAAGGGGATAGCTTTGGGTGTGGATGGACATGAGGGGTAATAGCGACTGTAGGAGTTGGATGAGAGAGGTGATGCTGTCAGAGCAGCGGGTGAGAAAAATGAAGTTGGCAGCTGCATGAAGGATTGACTGCAGGGAGCCATGCCAGAAGCGGGAAAGCCAGTGAGGAATGGATTGTAATTATTGGTCTTGGAACATAAGCATTTCCTTGCCATTAAATTGATCTGGCCACAATAAGTCACAGTATTTACCCAGTCCTACAATAAAATGGCTCAGTATTTTCCAGTAACAAGTTTCCAAGGAAACCCCAATATTAAAGTCCCAACAGATGCAAAAGGAAAATATTGAAGAAAGGGAACCTTAGACGAGGGGGGAAAATGAGGAGAAATACAAAGACTAACATATAGGGAAATATATTGCGAAACCAATTTGTATCGGCAAACTAGAAATCCTCTTTTTTTTCCAAAAATAGCTGAACCATGTAGCACTAGCCAAGGCAATATATTAACATATCACACATTGATGAGTATTTCTTCTTAAGAGTGTTGAATAAGCAAAAACTGTAATAAGAGAGAATCATGTGCACTAAAAAGAAGCAGAGAAGAAAGAAAGCATCAAATATTTTATGGAAGAGTAAGGGTCCCATTCCTAGTGGAGCATGGGGTATGAGTGAGGCAGAGGCAGGGAAAAGTGTGTGTATGTACGTGCGTGTCACACACATGCTAGAGTGCTATAGGGCTGGTGGCTGCATATGGCGGAAAGTACGGGGCAGAGCCCCAGACCAAAGGATGGCGTGATGGTGCTGACTCACATATAGACCTGATTGTCAAAGATATTTGCTGGTGAGAATGAGCTCATGAAAGAGCATGGATATTGCTAAAAATAACTTATATTTAAACCTCAGTTCAGGATACTTCTGATGTGCCTTGGAAAGGCAACTTAACCTCATGAAGTCTCAATAAATATATGTCAAAAACAAAATGAATGCACTTAGTTGAGATGATTAGAAATAATGTGCATAGAATGCCTGGAATAGTGCCTGACATAGTAGGTGCTGAAACAAACAAACAAACAAAAAACAGTAGCTATGATGAAAATAGTGTGGTATTACTTATATATGTATATATAAACTACTATTGATCATTTCAAGGAAATTTACCTAGTCACATACCTTTTCAACAACACACATTTACTGAGCATCTATTATATGGCAAGTATTAGGTGTTGAAGGGATATACCACATCTCTGCCTTTAACAAGCTTAGAATGTACGCTGATGTACCAGTATATGTACTCTTCAGAGCCTCCTATGTGGATACCAAGATGGTCAGGTGCACAGGTGAGAACCTCAGCTGATGGAAGATGGGAGGACTCTGGTCACTGTCCGCCAAAGGCCCAGGCCAAGGTCACAGTCACCCTGTGATGTGCAGTGCTTTCCCTATCGGAAGGAGGGCTTGAAGACCCTGGGGCCTAAATTCCCATAGAATCAGAAATGGACCCGCTCAGATTGCTCAGCTACCATGCTTCAGGAAGTGGAAGAAGAGGAGCAATGTGAAGAAGGGAGTCCTCAGATGCAGGAGGGGCAGCCAGCTGACCCAGAGAGGAAGGCCGTCAGCTGGGTCTCTCTTGGCAGCACCACCACATCCCAAACCCACAGGGAGTTCCTGGCCACAGCAAAGAGCCAGAGGCCTGAGGGTGCTGCTACCAAAAGAGAAGATAGTTGTGAAGAATGAGTGAGTCTCTCCATCCCCATGGCCCACAACACAGTCATTTTGATCTCCTTTTTCAAACAGATATTCAGCAACCTCCAGGGACCTCTCTCATGGACCGTGTTGCATTCAGCCAGCCATTTTCATGTTCTGCAGCTGCGCGAGCTCACCCCTGACGAGTTAACTCCCATCATGTTGGATGCCCCCACCTCTGTGAGGGAGAGCAGAACATCAGGGAAGGCAGACATCGAGCAACACAGAATGCCACGTGGTGCTGCTCGGGGAACAGTGATTTTCAATGAGATGGCACGGAAAATCATATGAGGATGGAGAGGCTCGAAAGAGGTGTCAAAGGAAAGATACTCACAGATGAGGGGGATGAATAGAGAGGGCAGCAGGAAGACTGCTGGGGGTTCATGTGGAGGAGGAGGTGGAGAGGGAACAGAAGAGCAGATCAGGAGACAGTTCTCAAAGATACAGAACATCAGGCCCACTCTGTAGACAATGGGATTGTTCATGCCACACAGAAAATGAACGCAGGATTATTCACTTGGCAACTGCAACTCAAGATGCTGCAGTGGAATTCTTCTTGTCCCTCCCCCATTCCATATGCACTTCTGCTTCCTGAATCCCTGTCTCCGCTTATGATACCACCACCCACCCATTTCCCTACATAGAAACTCTGGAGTCATCCTTCACTGCTCTTTGTCCTGGGTCCCCTACATCCATGCAGACATTCATCCTTATCTACACCAGTTTCTCTAAATAGCTCTCAGCATCCTCTCCTCTTCTCCATCCCTGCTGCTACTACGACCATTCAGGCCCTCACCCCTTTCTTGATCAATTTGCCTCTAACTTCAATGTCACTCAGTGTATTCTCTGCACTGTCCATCTCCTGCCACCAAGCTGGTTGCTCTCAAATTCAAAAACAGCCAAGCTGCCGCCATCTATTCCCACTATTTCACCAGCTCCCTATGGTTTTCATAAGAAAGTCCCCACAAGAAAGTCCTGGCTTGTCATGGGAGACCCTTCATGATCTAGTGCTCACCTATCTCTCCTGTCTCATCAACCATTCTCCCTGTCCCCCAGACACCTTGTCCTCTGGCTTTATCAAACTCCCTGCTGTCCCTTGTACCAAGAATGGTCCAGGTTGCTCCCACCTCAGGACCTTTTGCATGTGCTGTTGTTTTCAGACCAATGTCCTATTCCCTCCATTGTCTTGATTCACCCAATGAGTATTTCCTTCCTCCTGAAGAAAGGAATCCAGGCACACACACTGCCTGTTACATGAAGTGCCTCTGACGGCTCAGGCTGATTTAAGTTCCCCTCTTCTCTCTCTCCGTGGTGCACCCTGTGATCTTCATAACAGCACGTATCACACTAGGCAAATCTGTAGACTAGACTGGGAGCTTCTTGAGAGCAAGGACGGTTTTATCCAGCCCTGTGTCCTCAGCATCTATCAGGGTACTTGATTCATGGTGGATGTTTAATAACTGCTTTGCATTTAATGTATGAATAATGTAAACAAATGATAAATACTTGTGCCAGGCAGAAAGAAAGCTTGGAATGCTTGGGTTTTATCATCTGAGCTTCCCTCTAAATGGTAATTTCTAGAAGTAAAATAGAACACAACATGAAAAGAAGTTTCACTGAGGCCCAGGTGATTTGGCATATTGTATATCACCACTTTTAGGGTCAGATTATAAAGGTGGAAATACTTATGTGCCCACATATATTTGAGTTCAATTTGGTCTCACTATTCTCTGTATTATTGAGGTTAGTGTGCCCTGCAAGTATTTCATTTGGCATGTGTGGGGAAATTGAAGTTATCGTGGAAGTAACCCAATATGTCTGCTCAACGTCTTTCCTCTGTTCACACTGGTGCCCCATTGAGCCCTCTCTCCCACCATTGCCACCAAATGCCCTTCCCATCCTTGGATGTAGAAATACACCAGAATGTCAGGACAGATCTTCTCCTACCATGCCAGGCTCTGAGCCATCCTGCAGTTTTTACAGAGCCAAAGGGCTCCCTGGATTGCCTCAAGTGCTTCAAAATGAGCCCAGAAAGACAAGTGGAGGACAAACATAACAAAAATATGCACCTGTAAAAATAGCCTTGTAATAACAGCCGCCCATGAGCGAGGTGGAAGCGGTAACAGATGGCTACGTCTGTCTAATTTTCCAATCCCTGAGGTTGTACCTCTCTGCTTCCTTTCCATCTCTTCTCCTGGAACACAGTTTTGGCAGGCAGTGGGTCCCTTGGAATCAACAGCATTATTCAAAGTCATTCCAGAATCTTACAGCAAACAAGGCCAACCTACATGCGATGCAGAATCAGGAACTCCAAGTTACAAACGTGAGCCATGCCCAAAAGAAGTCAGTGACCTTATTAGGACGTCCCTTGCAATTTAACAAAGGACATTCATTGAAGATCAAGGTGCCTTTTGAGTGAAAACAGGAGAAATTGGGCTCCGTTGAAAGTCAAGAAGTATTTAGGCAATATTACCTGCTGATTACCTGCCAGGTGACTGGGCTCAGATCGGCCGTGCTGTACTAACTCCTGCTGCTGCATTGACCCACTTCTGACCCCCACCAGGGCATCACTTGTAGGCCAGTCCGCTTCCTCACTTCAAAAACAGTCTGCAACTTTACACAAACGTTGACTAAAGCTCTTCCTCCTCATCAGTGTTCCCTAGGACAGACTCCCAGTGTCCTGAGAGTTATCGATATTTATAAATATTTCATAGTGAATACAAAATGCAAAACGGAATGTTTTCAGAATCACTTGAACTTATATTGGAATTCTATTCTTATAACTTCCTTGGGCCACTAATTTAAAGAGGTCGTGCTTTAAAGTATTGTACAAATAAAATATTTAATATATTTCTTAATACCTTATTTTCTTTACCATAATTATATAGGATAAAGAAAATGGATCTGCTCTTCTCACCAAGCACCACACCGATGCCCTCACAGCCCCGCCAGGTTATCCATACAAATATTTTCACTTTCTAGGAGCACCAGGAGGTGAACAAATTTGGGAATTAACAGTCTAAGGAAATTGGAATTCATATGTCAAACATTTGATGTGCACTTACTAAGCATGGTGCTAGGCCCTCTAGGAACATGTCATACTGATAACGGTATTAACCCTGCACTCACAGAACTTTCTGTCTAATGAGGATGAGGAAGCCAGTAGCCCTAGTGCCCAGCAGATGCAATGGATCAGGGTGAACTTAGAGAACACGGAGCTCATGCAGAGAGCTTCATATTCCTCCTCCCCATCCTCACCAAAGTCGTCTGATTTGGGTATTATTGCACCTCCAAAGGTGGGAGAACAGAGGCCTAGAGAAGTTAAGCGACTTGGCCAAGGTCACACAGACTAAATCATCAATTGTGCATGAGCCTGAGTCTGTCTGACTCTATAGAGTCCATAGTCTTTCTCTTAACTGAACCAGTTACTTCTCAGAAAAAGTATTAAAGTAACACAAAATGCTGAGGCGACTAAGCAAGAAGGAGAAATCCATTTCATTGAGGTTGCCAGTATAGGTATCAGAGAGGGCTTCGTGGAGGAGTTGGCGTTGGAGCTGGTCCTTGAAGGAATAAGAGTTCAATCGAAAATTCATGAGAAAGAGAATTTCAGGCCAAGGAACCCAGAAGGGTGTGAGGTTAGTGAGCTACCAGTTAATATGGTATGGTCTTGAAATGCAGGGAATCTGGAGGGATGGAGCAGGAAACGAGCAAAACGACACTGCCTGCAAAAGGCACAGTGTACCAGTGATGGTGTTTTCTGCATAGCAACCAGGCAAGCACGTCCATCCTCCAGCCCTCCTTCACCGTGGACTCTCCTCTAGCTGTTTACCACTAGTTCCCACCTTCCTCTTGCCAAAATGTTTACCTCTCATCCTTTCTCCCTATTCCAAGCGATTTAATGAGTGTGTGAAAATCAGAAGTCTTTAAAAAAAGAATTCAGGGCAGGCGCAGTGGATTACGCCTGTAATCCCAGGACTTTTGGAGGCTGAGTGGGGCAGATCACTTGAGGTCAGGAGTTTGAGACCAGCCTGGCCAACCTGGTGAAACCCTGTCTCTACTAAAATAACAAAAACTAGCCGGGCATGGTGGCAGGCACCTGTAGTCCCAGCTACTTGAGAGGCTGAGGCAAGATAATTGCTTGAACCTGGGAGGCGGAGGTTGCAGTGAGCCAAGATCACGTGACTGCACTCCAGCCTGGGTGACAGAGAGAGACTCCACCTCAAAAAATAAATAAATAAAGTAAAAAAATAAAAAAGAATTCAGTTGAACTTGCACAGCATTTTTTTTGTTGTCAAGCCACTCAAAACCATCTGTCTCTAGCCATCTGCAGCAGATACTTCCAAACTCCTGGAGGAGCCTTGGGACATTGTGACCTTCCGCTCTTTCCATGAGACACACATGGGGCCCAGACAACCTGTGAAGTCTACCCCAGAGATAAGACTGGGCATCAGCTTTACAGTTACATAGAACATATGGATCCAGGCACAAGAGAAAACTTCCATCCTCAGGTCACGACTTAGGGGGGATCTTGTGGGAGGAAGGCACCCAACTGCACTCTTTTCTAGACCTTTGCCAAGGTCGAGATCATTCCCACAGAAGAAGCAGGGATTGTCGTAGTGAGGCAAACCACACCATGTGCTCCAGATGAAAACAGCAAACAGAGGTAGGTGGGGCAGGTGGGAAGAAATAGAAAGGCACCACCTCCTGAGAATGATACTGGTCATGAAGGTATAGGGAAGGTAAGAGCAAATGCGCGGCTACTGGGCTGGTTTCCCTGATAATTCTGGGTCTTTGTACCACTTGGTTCTTTAGGAGAATCCTAATAAATAGATGAAAAGCCTTTGCTTCTTTAATTCCCTAGAGTGGAGCTGAGACAATGGCCTGCATGCACTGCAGCCTAAAATTATTCATCAGCCTAAGTGTATAAGGTTCCAGAAAAGCAGGGGTCTTTAGTGTGGTGGGGGCGGAATGAGATTGTAGAGGATTTCAGTATGAACAGGAGTGAAGGCATTCAATAAAAAACTTGTAAAAAAGGAAATGAATGAGAGAATAAAGAATCTAAATGAAACATGGGTGAGAGGGTGGGCTTGGGGGTTTGTTTTCCTTTTTTTTTTTTTTTTTTTCCGCAACTGGAGAGATTTGATCATGTTTAAATACTGACGGCAAAGAATCAGTAAGAAAGAAGCTGTGGAAGCCCCAGGAGCAAGGCTGCTGGGTGAAGGGAACCCATGAGCAGGTGGGAGAGCACAGTGGAAGGTGTGTGCTTATGGAGGAGAAGGGAAGGGAAGTCCACGCCACATTGCAATGACTGAAGCATGTGAGGATGGATGAAGACAAGTGTCAGGGAGACTGGACAGTTGAGCCAATTCCCATCTGATATCTTCCACTTTCCCAGTTGGGTCGGGGGGCACAGGGAAACTGAGGAAGCCTTGAAGTAAATATGGTGGCAAGTGGAAGAGAGATGACTGAGACTCACAGAAGAATGGTCGCCCTCAGCTGAGGTTGGAGATCATGGACTGGTAGCAGCTGCAACCCAAACATCGCGTGATTTCCTCCAGCCATGCTCAGCAGGCCAGGGTAGGGGCAGGAAAAGGAGATGCAAGTTGACCAAGATTGGCTTTTAGGTGGACGGGTGGGGAAGGCATTAGAGGGCAAGAGCACTGAAGACATTGGCAAGGGAATTGTTGAAATGTCTTCACTCATTCAACACGTTTACTGAGTGCCTGATACATGCCAAGCTTTAGCATTAGCATTGGAGACACAGTGGTGAGCAACACAGGCAAGGATTGTTCCAGTGCTGTGCAGTGGAGGCAAACAAGAAACAAGAGGATAAACACGGAAATCAGAATTTCAGATGGTGGGTAGGGGCCATGACAGACATGGTGTGACAAGGAAGAGCCTGCTGTGTTTGGGGTCATCCAGGAAGACCTCTCTAAGGAGGCTGAAGTGATCACCCCTAAGTTATAGGCAGGGTGGGGAACAAGCGGAAGTCCCTCGAGGCTGGTAGGTAAGGAGGCTGACAGTCTTGCAGGGGCCCAAGAGAGTGGGGACACTGGAAAGCCAGGAAGCTGAGGCCAGAGCGGTGCATTCATTGCACAGTCTCAGCAGCTGAGCTGTTCCTGGACCTTTGGTTGAAAGGATGACACTGGGGCTTGGTATGTTTTCTCTGCTTTTCTCAGAATTGCAACTAAGGCCCAAAGCTGAGCCCAGAAGTCCTAAGAACTCGACATTTTAAGTTCAGAAAAACTTTCAGTTATTGCACAGGCTTGCTGAGACATGTCCTTGCCAAGAGGACGATAACAGCACAGAGAGCCCAACAAAGCTGACAGCTGCTGGCTATGAGGCAGAAGATATCTGCCTTGTGACCTTCATTTAGTTCCACTCGTCCCTGCCCCATAGAGGGGAGAGAAGACTCAGGAGAAAGAACCACAACTCTCTTCCATTCTAAATGGGGACCAGCCTCATGGGCTGGCCTGTGCCAGGTACCAAGGAGTCCTTTAGATGGTAGACAAAAGTTTAGAAGAGATAGGACTGGAATGAGCCCATCCTGAGACCCGAGAGTGACTGCACAGTTATGAGAGTCATGCCGAGAAGGCGCAGAGGAGGTCCACTCTTCAGTGGTAGCACTTTGGGAGAAGAACTGCTATTTTAGGTCTCTAGCCCAACACATCTGGATGCCACAAGAACTTGTTTTATGGCTTTAAGACAAAGTGGCTGGAGAAGAGTGAATTGGCTACCTTGTTCCTTCATCATCCAACAAGGGTTTATTTGGCACATAGGATGTACTCAGCTCACAGCAGGCGCTGAGGAGACAGTGGTGGGCACAGCGCACAGATCCTCACCTTCCAGGCACTTAATGGAGGAGAGAGACGCTAACACACCCAAGGACACAATAATTCTGCTTCTGATGTGTGCCCAGCATCAGGGTTGAGAGTGGTATTGGGGACAGGGAGAGGAAGGAACTCTTGTAGTTAAAGTGACCAGGGAGAGTTGGCATTTGAGTGGGGAACTGGATGGAGCAAGGGGTGAGCTCTGTGGATGACTGAAAGAGGAGCTCTCTCTGGAAGAGGATGCTGTGGGGAAGGAATGAGCTTGGTAGATTTGGGGGTGGCTGGAGTAGCCTGAGCAAGGTGGATGTGGTAGGAGATAAGGACAGAGAGGGGCCTACCCTGGAGGCTTTTCCAGACAATGGTAAGGCTTTGGAGTTCAGTCTTGGTATGAAGAAAAGTTCCTGGAGGGTTTTAAGTGGGGGTGTGACACAAAGTGACAATTTTTTTTTTTTTTGAGAAGGAGTCTCGCTCTGTCGCCCAGGCTGGAGTGCAGTGGCATGATCTCGGCTCACTGCAAGCTCTGCCTCCCGGGTTCATGCCATTCTCCTGCCTCAGTCTCCCAAGTAGCTGGGACTACAGGTGCCTGCCACCACGCCCGGCTAATTTTTTGTATTTTTAGTAGAGATGGGGTTTTACTGTGTTAGTTAGGATCGTCTCGATCTCCTGGCTTCGTGATCCGCCCACCTCGGCCTCCCAAAGTGCTGGGATTACAGGCGTGAGCCACCGTGCCTGGCCAATGTGACACATTTTTAAGACATTCTTCTGGGTGTCATGGAAGATGGAAGATGCCATATAGGGCAAAAGCAGAAACAGGAGGCTGATTCCCAAGGCTGCAGCAGCCCAGGTTGAGGACTGTCGGGCCTGGAAGCAGGAAGGCAGAAGAAACGGTCAGATGGGGGATAGATTGGGATGGTGGGTCCTGCCATGTCCTGGTCTGTTGAGGTAGAAAAGAAGGTAAGATCCCAGGGTGGAGGGTGAGTCACACCCGCTTGAGACAAAGAGAATGGCAGCAGGTCCAGGGGCTCCCTGAAAGAAGGGAAGTGACCAGGAGACATGGTGAATGAGCGAAGATCTGCAAGGGACTCTGAGAGCAAGGAGGACCCCAATCCAAATGAGAGCATACACTTGAGAGCAAAGGTTTCAGTGAGAGCAAAGAAATGGTGAAACTTTCTGTAACTAGGTGAAGAGCATGCATGAAATTGTTTGCAACTAATAGAGGTTCCACAGAGCACAGCGGAAAAGTTTAGAAGAAGAGCAATTACATCAGGTCCAGGGAGAAGGAAGCACATGGCCACGTGAAGAGGACAGTGACCAGAGGACCTTGTTCAGTTTGTGTGAAAGACATGGATGAGTCATGGGGGAAAGAAACGACCTAGAAATGTCCACAGACCTGGACTCTGAAGTCTCTGATGGATTGGAGGACTCAGGCCTCTCTGGAAGAAGCCGGCTGCTCTTGGAAATCCTACACCAGGTGGGCTGGCAACAGGATTAGTTGGTTCTCAGGAGCTACCCTGAGTGCTGGAAATAATATTAGCTCCAGATGGATGGGAGGCCTTTCTGGATGGAAACCTTCACAGCTTGTCTTAACTGTGACTCTAGGGGAATACATGGAAAAATGGCATCATGGATTCTAAAATAACTGCAAGTGAGATCGTTGTATGTACTTTCTGTTTACTTTACACAACCCTCACTCACTTCTCAACCCACAGAGATATGATTTCTGCTCACTCCATTTCACTAAAACAGCCCTTGCCAAGTTCTCTAGTGGTCTCCATATTACTTGAGCCAACTGACCTTTTTCAGCCCTCATCTTCCCCGACAACTCAGCCCTGTTGGCCACGCCCTTCTTTGTGAAACACTTTCTTCCTTGGATTTCTATAGTGATGTCACCCTCTCCTAATTGTCTTCCTGTCCCCAGCTACTCATTGGCTCTACCTCTCAAATCCTCACTTACACAGCCTATAAGTGTTGGGGTGCCTTAATGCTTGATGTTAGACCATCTACTCTTCTCACTTAATAACCTTTCTCTGAGGCATCTCAATCAGAGCTGTGGCCTCAACTGCTTAACAGAGGCATGTGAAAAGTGCTGCAGGAGTGTTCAGCCGAGTGCGTGACTATGTCATGTGAAAAGTAGCTTGATTTGGGGTCACTGCTATTCAGTGGAAAATTTAACCTTGGGATGGATAATGCAGCCCAAATTTGAACTCTGAAAGACTATTCACTGGATTGGAAGACCAATAGATACCAATAAATTAAAAGTAATTGCTGTTTATCCTTCATCAAAATTACCATTATTCTACAAGGTAAGTGCTTGTCTATACATTACAAGCCCTGTGTCTATTGCCTATGCATTAACTATGTATTAGCATTTCCTACATTCTGTACATTCCCTTTATCCAAAATATTCACATCTACCTCTTACTCAGCAGTCCACCAGGCTTTCCCATCCTTAGTAGCGTTTATTGATTGCCTTCAGGATCTATAGTGATGTTTAAAGCACTATAATCCATCTCTATCCTCAAAGATCTTGATGGAGTATTACAATAACCCTATCACTTATTGTTGTCAGCTTTTCCATCAGCATCAATTAGAAAAGGCATGAAGGGACCATAGGTTGATCAATTACTTTATCAAGGGAACAAGTATGGAAGCATCACTTGCAAATGATCAACAATCATTATTGCATGCAACTAAAAGGAGTATGTTTTATTTATTTATTTTTTTGAGGCAGAGTCTCACTCTGTTGTCCAGGATGGAGTATAGTGGCGTGATCTCGGCTCACTTCAACCTTCACCTCCTGGGTTCACGAGATTCTCCTGCCTCAGCCTCCCAAGTAGCTGGGATTACAGGTGTACACCACAACATCCGGCTAATTTTTTTATTGTAGAGACAGGGTTTCGCCATGTTGGCCAGGCTGGTCTCAAACTCCTGACTTCAAGTGATCCACCTGCCCTGGCCTCCCAAGTTGCTGGGATTATAGGTGCGAGGCACTGCACTCAGCCTGTTTTACTTTTTTTTAAATCCACAATATAGCCAAATCTCTTGTATACACAAAATAGTGATCTGCGGTCCATCTCATGGCAACCATGCTGTTCAGCCTATTGATCTTCTTTAATGAATTACCTGCTTTGTTGACATCTGCACTCTGCAATTCCAGAATTGATCACACATTTCCCTCATAGCCCATCTCCTCATTTCCATTAATTTTACATACTGTCTGCAGAGATAATCCGCTGTAAAGGAGGTAACACTCACCTTGGAATCAGAAGTCCTGGGTCCAAGGTCTGACTTGTAATTCATTGGGTCATGCACAATCTAATTTTCTTCATCTATATATCTGCCTGAATAACCCTACACTCTCTCCACACCTCTCAAAATAGGCAGGTGGTAAGAGTTATTACTTATTAGAAGAAGCTTTAGAAATCCAAATATTTCACCATCGTCCTTGATCAATGGAAAGTTTAAGAGAGACAGAATCATCTATTCTCAGTAGCATGGACTGCAGGGAACTGCCTCACTGAAGCCCCTGTTGATTTATTACATTAATTCATTACAGTTTGTGTGCAGAATATTAGACATGCCTAGCTTCAGGTCTCAACCTGAAGACATGTGTCATCCAACTAGATCTTCAGAATTACTCTGTGAGATAGGCAGGGCAGGTGCTATTGTTTTGATTTTGCAAATGAGGAGAGTCTCAAAGTTTAGCAAACTGAACAAGATCACACAGCTAGAAAATGGACAAACCAGGGCTCCGTTTTTCAAGCTTTCTAATCCCTAGTTCTTCACCTTCCAACACCTCTAACCGGAAGGGAGAAAGCAGTGCTTAAGTCCCTTTTCAGTGCAAAGAATGACAATAACCTGAGAGAGTTAATGCACCTTCCAAAAGATTCATTTCTCCCCTATTCACAAAGAGTCAGGCAGAAATTGATTTAGAACAATCAGGAGAAGACTCAGTAAGCTTCATCTACACAATAAAAATAATACACTTAGCATTCTCATGTGACTTCACATTTTGTAGTTATTGACAATAAACAATTAAAAATTTATCTCATAGATAACCAGATGGCTAGTATAATTATTTTACAACACAAAACACCTAGACAGGCTTCCTTTTTATTAGGTAGAGATAATTTAAAAATCAATTTAACAAAACCACTTTAAATGTACAGAGTTCCAAGCCTCATTGTGGTGGAATAAATCCTGGAAATCTGGGGCATTTAATTTACAATAAGCCTCAATAAACTGCCCTCATGAGATGGCTCTCATGACTAGAGGTCATTCATACAGGCTGAAGCTTAGTTGTAAACAGACTACACAGTGCGTTCTAGCCATTTCCAGCTTGAGACACAGGAAACTCCTCTTATCGTAATCAAATGCTGACAAGTCCCTTTGACTTAGAAAGTGACATACGGTGAAATGGACCCCAGTTTAAATTCTTCTCAAGTTTTCAGGGTGAGAAAGCAATTCCAAAGCAGCCCATTAGAGGTATTTGTCTGCATGCATAAGACATTAGGCAGCCTGACATGACCTGATGTTTGCAAAGGGAAGGATGGGTTTGAGGCAAAAGGATTTTGTACGTGCAAAGTGGTACAGGCCAAAAGAGCCACACATGTAACTTCTTTACATATAGCTTGCCAGATCTTTGCTTGCCTGCAACTAGCTGATTTTTCTATGAATGTTAAGTTCATGAGCAAATGAATAGAGGATCCAAACCTACCTTTTTAATTACAAAATGCTTTTTCCTCCCCTACAATCAGACTTCTACTCATTTCAGCACTGAAAAAAAAAATGTAATCATCATAATTCCTAGTAGCTTGCTTCTGTTTCCGCTTCAATAGATACCCTGTAGATGGGAAGTCACATAACAGCTCCACGTCCTATCAAGTTGCTTCCACCCGAAAACAGCTGCAATGCTTATCTAATTAAACCCCAGCCCCAAACTGTGAGCTTCCGCATCAATCATTAATATTGTATTATGGATCATTTTAAATTCTGACTGGGGTAGGTGGCTCCCCGCACACTGGTCTCTGAAGGAGATTTTTCAAATAATCTTTAAGCTGCATTGAAAAAATAAAACAAGCTGCCTGCTGTTCGAGGAAAGCTCTACTATCCTGCTGCACCCTGATTAGCTGTTAACACTAATTGAGAGATGAATATTGCTTATTCCAAAAATGCTAAAGATGGGTTTTTTTACATTATGAAAAGGAAAACGCAGTTCTCCTCACCTCAAAAATGTGTCTGTGGCTCTTTGTCCAAATTCTAAACAGCACCAAAAGAATGGTGGTTTCTGGGTCTCTTGTCTACAGTTTGCAGAGTGATTATCCTGAAACACTTCTTTTCTCTAGGTGGCCCTCCAGAGTTAGTGAACTGTGACCTCCACATGGGATTTGGACATGCGTGCCCTACATCTGGAATGCAGAAACACTCTTCACAGAACTCTGATAGCCCAGGAATATTTATGTAAATCTCTGTCCTGGTAAGGCACATGTTGATGTACTTGGGCTTAAGCTCATAAACCAAGAGGAACAGTTTCCTACATCCCCCTTCTAATGACTAAAGCCAACGGGCTGAGCCAAATGGGACAATTTAGACAAAGAGAGACTGGCGAAAAGCAAATGAATGTCTGCTTCCTTCTAGCATTCTAGGAAAAATACCAAGCGGCTGTGCCAATGTGCACTGCTTGCCTTTGTTAGGAGAATACACTCAAAATCAGGGGAATCAGTCAGTACCAGGTTCAGGAAAGATGTATGCAAGAGAGACTCCCTGATGAGGAAAAATCGACTACAGAAACACAGCATGCACCCAGCTCAGCACAAACACAGCTTAAAAATCCAAGGAATTAGGATGAAGTGTAGAATCCCGAGGTTCTCATTCTTGTTCCCATAAGCCAGGATTGGCTGAGCCTTAGCCAGGATACCACCTGGCATTCAGCCACATCGGCTAAAGAGATGAGGAACCTGAGAGGAAACAAATGTGAGGAAGAGGATGATTCAAGAGGACCAGAAATACAAGGAAAGGACAGAGGCCCTCGGATGGTTCACTGCAGAGAAGACAGGCTGAAAGATTTAGGAACCGGCTGAAAGCCAACATGCCAGAGCCTCCCAAAGGGTGGAATCAGAGATCTCTCCTGCTATTATTGTATCAGCAGCCTCACGTCTACCCTCGGGCCTGAATTTTGTTATAGATTTATACACATTTGATATAGAGTCCTTCCCATGCTACTTTCCTACTATCTCTGTGTTTCCTAGAACCAAGGTACACCCCTCCCCATGGCCTCTCCCACTGCCATCACATTCTAAGCATATGTCCAGCCCTAGGGAGCTATAAGACCTTGAGTGTATTGGTGAAACTCTCCAAGTCTCATTTTCCTCATCTGTAATATGAAAATAGTGGAATATATTTAGGTACAATTGACGTTTTTTAGTACTTCCTACATATCAAGTTAAATGTGGGTTTTTTGTTTGGTTTTCGGGTTTGTGTGTGTGTGTGTGTGTGTGTGTGTGTGTGTGTGTTTTGAGACAGATCTCACTCTGTCACCTAGGCTGGAGTGCAGTGGTGCGATCTCAGCTCACTTCAACCTCCACCTCCTGGGTTTAAGCAATTCTCCTGCCTTAGTCTCCCAAATAGCTGAGATTACAGTCACGCACCACCACACCCAGCTAATTTTTGTATTTTAGTAGAGACGAGGTTTCACCATGTTGGCCAGCCCGGTCTTGACCTCCTGACCTCAAGTGACCCACCCGCCTCGGCCCCCCAAATTGCTGGGATTACAGGCATGAGCCACCGCGCCCGGCCAAATGTGTTTTGATATATTATTATTATCCTTCTCCTAAAGCACAATGTGGAAAATGTTATTTCCATTACACAGATGAGAAAATGTAGGCCACAAAACTTTCCTGACGCTCCCAAAGTCATCCAGCAAGAAGTACCAGAATCAAAATCTTCTTATCCTTGCAAAAAAAAAGAAAGAAAACATAAATAAAAGTGGAACAGTAAGAATCACAAAAAAGAGTGAGGGAGACAGAGAGAATCGGGAGGTACTACAAGAGGAAGAAACCTAAATCTAATTTATCTCACTTGGAATTAAGGACAATTTGTAAAATTTAGCAGTAAAGACTGTAATATGTTTGAAATTTGATAGACTTGGGAGATGTAATAAGAACAGTCTTTTTTTGCAAGTGTTTATTTTCTAATAAACAGGAATCAGGAAATTTGCCTCTGGGCAGTTTTTCCCCACAACTAATAATTGAAAATGTGAAGTTAGCAAACAATTCCTTTACAGCAAACATTGCTCTTTTATTCAATTGTTCATGAAAGAGAAACATCTATTGATTCCCATCTAGGTGCCAGGCATTGTGCACTCCATATGCCAGGCATGCAGTTTAGAGCCAGACAGTCTGGTATCTGAGCTTTAAAGGCCAAGAATCAAGTGTTTATGTCTGGCATGTTGTAATTAATTAAACCATTTTTATGCAATAATTGCAGGGTGTCAGAATACAATGCATTTGGTGACAAGCTGACTGGACTCAAAGAGAAGTTGCTGTGGGATTTCTGCAAGACCAGAGTCTTAGAGGAGACGGTGCCCAAGTCTAACTTGTTCACTCTTGGAATGCCAGGCACCAAACATGGTGCCTGGTCCATTGCTGGCAGTGGGTTCTTCCTATGTGCCATGCATTTGACTCTCCTAGGGAACTCCTTTAAAATAGAGATATCAAGCACCCCCTCCTTCCCAGAAGATGCTCATCCTGTTGGTGGAGACAGGACCATGATGAGATTTGTTTGTATTTCTCCGTGGGTGATTTGGGTGATTCTCTTCTTTTTTTTTTTTTTTTTTTTTTTTTTTTGAGATAGAGTCTTACTCTGTCGCCAGGCTGGAATGCAGTGGCATGATCTTGCCTCACTGAAACCTCTGCCTCCCAGGTTCAAGTGATTCTCCTCCCTCAGCCTCCTGAGTAGCTGGGACTACAGGCGCACGCCACCATGCCCAGCTAATTTTTGTATTTTTAGGAGTGATGGGGTTTCACCATGTTGGCCAGGATGGTCTCGATCTCTTGACCTCATGATCCGCCCACCTCAGCCTCCCAAAGTGCTGGGATTACAGGTGTGAGCCACCACCCCTGGCCAGGTGATTCTTATACATACCCAGTGACAAGAACCACTCAGTGTGAGCTTTATGCATATTTTTCAATGTATGGTGGTTCACACCTGTAATCTGAGAACTTTGGAGGGCCAAGGCAAGAAGCTTGCTTGAGCCCAGGAGTTCTAGGCTGCAGTGAGCTATGATCTTGCCACTGCACTCCAGCTTGGGTGATGGAGTGAGATCCTAGCTCTAAAAACAAACAAAAAAGAGTGAACTAGTATTATTAAAGTAAGTGCACACTATACTTTTTAAAACCATGTGGCACCCTTATGGGTATAAATTCTAAAGCAAGAAAGGGATAGGAGGAAGCGTTGGATTAACATTATGGGTAGGGGCAATACATACTATAATAGGATAAAAATCTTACTAGAAGATGGAAGGAACGTGGAATCCCTTAGGGTGAACATGAGGACCTTTTTTAACACCTAAAATAAAAGTTTAAAATAACATTTTTTGGCTATTATTAAACAGTCAAAAAAAAAACACAGATGCTAGCAAGGTCTTGGAGAAAAAGTAATGCTTATATGCTGTTGGAGGCAGGGGTGTAAATTAGTTCAACCACTGTGGAAGACAGTGTGGTGATTCCTCAAAGACCTAAAGACAGAAATATCATTCGACCCAGAAATCCCATTACCAGCTATATACCGAAAGGAATATAAATGATTCTGTTATAAAGACACATGCCTGTGTATGTTCATTGCAGCACCATTCACAATAGCAAAGACATGGAATCAACCTAAATGCCCATCAATGGTAGACTGGATAAAGAAAACATGGTACATACACATCATGGAATACTATGCAGCCACAAAAAAGAATGAGGTCATGTCATTTGCAGGGACATGGACAGAGCTAGAGGCAACTATTCTTAAAAAACTAATGCAGTAACAGAAAACCAAACACTGCATGTTCTCACTTTTAAGTGGGAATTAAATGATGAGAACACATGGACACATAGAGGGGAACAACACACACTGGGGCCTATTAGAGGGTGGAGGGTGGGAAGAGGGAGAGGATCAGGAAAAATAATCAATGGGTACTAGCCTTAATACCTGGTCGATGAAATACTCTGTACAACAAACCCCCATCACACAAGTTGACCTGTGTAACAAACCTGCACATGCACCTCTGAACTTAAAGTTAAACAAAACATTTCTTAGACCCCTATAATATAGGTAGCATTTATATTTATTTTCTTTGTATTAATAAAAACATACCTCTATGAATTCGATGATGCCTTTAATTAATTTGAATTATTTTAATCTTAAGTGTCTACTTACATTTTTAAAATACTAACCCATACATGTGCAAGAGATTATTTAGTCAACCTACAGATACTGCTTACTGGGCACATGGACTCAAGAAGAAACTCATGACGCACATGGTCTGCATGTCAGGAACCACAGACGTAGACCATCTAACTAGTAGTAAGACTAGAATGAAATTTTTCAACATGAGGGAAGAGGCAAAATTAGACTCTTTAGTGGTAAAGGGCATTTTAAATTTCTTTGTAGTGGCAAAATAAGTCACCAGGACCAAATGCAAAAATGTGTGGTGTTTTCTTATAAGTTACCATTTTATAGAATAAGTAATTTTAGCATGCCTAAGGAAAAGAAATAAATTAGACAAGATTTGGAGCAATACAAACAGGATGCAGAGAATAGCTGAGGTAGAACAACTCTGCAATATTTGTAAGATTTTCTCTGAATAGGATTCAACTTAACATGATAATATCTGAAGAGACAAGACCAGGTAAAGAAAATTCATTTGATTATTCCATTTGGGGAAATGGTTAGGGAAGTACGATCAAATGCATAGCTGAAAAAAGTAAAAAACACAAATCCCATAAGTCAAAAGACCTTTCTTTTAAACTTATTGATAAATGTACACCCAAAATCAAGATCAAAAAGAGGTTCTTAATTAGAAATCATTTGTTATTAACAGGCAAAGTAAAAGAGGCTGTTATCGAAAAAAAAAAAAAAGCATCTTTTATCACTGGATGGATAAGCTGCTGAAACCTGAAGGTCACATAAGACCAAAATGTAAAAACAGCAACAAATGTTGCTGGACTTCCTTCTTCTCCAGGTTTTGCAACTTAGCCCTGAGTTGCTCTCAGGAAATTACATTTCTCTAAAATAAACATAGTGATAAGATTAGGATTCAACAACACCCGAGGCTCTCATATTACCACTAAACCTTTCTTCTATGCACACCTCAAAATATTATTTGCCATTTAAAATGGATTATCTCTTTTAAGGGGGCATATTTAACATTCTGCAATATCTGCCTGTTTATATGGACTCCAAATCACCAAAAATCCCAAGCAATCAGAATCATCCTCATTTGCTATTCAGCAACATTTCCCCAAGTCTTTTTCTCTGAATATTGGTGAAGATGTTCCTCAAAAAAGAGGGGAGGAGGGACTATGACTGGATAATTCGTATCTTGAAGATTCTCAGAAATCTTACATTGAAAACATCTGTTTAGCCTTGTTCATCCCATTATTTCTCACATTTATTTGACTTCAGAGCCCCTTTATCATGTAACATTGGTTAAAATTCCACAGAAATAGCCTTCCAGGCACACAGTTTGGACAGTCTAACTCTTTATGACCCTGAGACACTCCGAAATTGACTGCTCTGGTCCACCAATAGATGTTGAGCTTCAACATCGCCCAGGAACTGGTCTAGCTGCCGGGGATACTGTGGTGGACAAGATGAGCACAGTCCCAGGTCCCTGTGGAGTGTATTTTCTAGCATATGACGGAGTAAATGCACCTGTTGGCTTCAGGGGAGTCTGAGAATAGTGACTGGAATGGGAGCAGGATGTGCCTTTAGACAGGATGGGTACGGAAAGCTTCTTCCCAAGGTGATGTTTGAGACCAGATCCTGATTCTGTTCACTCTCGTTTTAATACTTAACAGACTTTTCCAATTGTTTGAAAATCATTGATTGAAAAGTAGTAATGCAAGATTTGTGTTTTAGTAATGTTCTGTTAATAAGAAAGCCAATTAAACAATGCTCATTCCCCATCCATCCCATTTAAATAGGCATGCATTGCATGTGCGTTAAAAACGTTTGTCTACTGGGATCTTACACTCAGTTCTCAGAGCAAGTGCACAGGGAACATCTCCGAGTCACAGCACTAAGTGGTAAAACAGTGTTTCTGACACAGCCCAGAAGTCCCTCCACACCGAAGGCACTGAAACGATTCCCCCTTTTTACTCTTCTCTAAACAGGATACACACATGTAATTGGGCACCAGGAAATTCCTGTATAGCACATTGGCAATGAATAGTTGTCTTAGTGGCTTATAATTAAGGAGAGTGATAATGTTGGGAATTTAACTTTGGTGGTACTTAACTCTGAAATACTTTTCACTAGCTCAATCCCTGTTGATTGCTTATTAAAATGACTCCTGAAACTCCCAGGAAAACAACATGGAAGGCTGAGTAAATGCTTTTGTATTGTGAAGATACTCTTTAATGAAATACTTCTTTCCCACAGCAACAGACCTACTCTACAATCCAGGAAAATGGTTTTAATAAATGCTTCTGATAATAATCTTTATAATGATCATTGTGTTATTGGTTATGGTGATGAATAATAAAACCTCCTTCAAAAAGGCTCTAAAAGATAAGGTACTAATTCAAAAGAAGGTGGTGGTGGTTGTTTTTAATTCCAACATGCTTCTGAGAGATCCACTTAAACATTTGCAATAACAGTGGAAAATCTTTAAGCAGACCAATGAAAATTTTCTTCTTATTGTGTTTTGAGTAGTCAAATTGCACCCAGTATTGTAAAATCAAAGTGCTTTGTTGCTAGGCAATTCCATGAATCATCCCAAATCAGGTTTTAACCAGATTGATAAAAGTGTTACCCCCCCCCTTGTTTTTTTTTACTAGAACACAGTTTTTGGTTGAGCAACAAAATATGTGAACTGATCACATGGGAATAGAATTTTTATAGCAATAAATAAATCTTGCCCCAATGATAATATTTAATGATATGCATAATTATTGTTATAACACACGGGAATCAGATATAAGTGATATAAAGCCCAAGTGATGATTGCATTTAGCATTATGTTGACATTGCAGATAAAAGCAGCTTTGAGATCAGCATGGAGGAAGAAGGAATAGGAAGAAGCTGCTCTGAACTCCCTCCAGAAACACCTACATTTACATCCAAGGCACCAGCTGTTGAGTTTCCCTGACTTGAGAAATGGCATCGCTCTTGGCCAACATCTCCCAAGGAGACTAAATAGAATATTAATGTATTAGTAGAATATTAATATTAATATATTAGTAGAATATTACTAACAGATTAGAATATTAATATTAATATATTAGTAGAATATTACTAAGTAATAGATTAGTAGAATATTAATATATATTAGTAGAAATAATATATTAGTAGCATATTCATATATTAGTAGAATTAAGCAAATTGACTGGTTTTAAATTCTAATATATTTGTTAAAGTTTAATCATTTAATTGATAGTTATATCTGATAATAAGAAACTCATCTCTTCATTTTATTTAATAACAGAATAAACAGATCATTAAGCATATGAATTTAGAATAGAGGTGAATCTAACTGAAATATTATTGGCATATGAGTATTTATGGAGTCTTCATGTTCTTCACTACCTACCTGCAAAGTTAAAGTGTTTATTTGAGGATGTAGACATGGAGATCCACACAAATACGTGAAGAGCTATATATTGAAGACAACAGCCTTCAATCTTTAAACCAAGTACAAAGCTCTTATATATTTATAGTATAATATAGCTCCTACTATTTCAATGTTTATGTCGTATCTCTTCCGTAAGCGATTGGTGGGTCTGAAATCCACTTTCACTGAGATACTTGGTTGACGTCAATACAAATGAGAACAGTGCGGACCGTTCTGCCCTTCCCCTGAAAACACAAAGTGGAGCTTTAAAACAGGCTCTCACACTGGATTTTAGGTGGATTTGGATTTTAACTCCAGTTGTCTATGAGCAATTAAAAAAAAACCCACAGCAGGACGATTTCCAAGGATATTAGAGGATTTAATGAACAAGGATCGCATTTAAGGGAAGAGGGGTAACGAGGAGTAAAACGAAATTTTCCTGCTTTTTCCTGTGAGAAGTATCATTGTAATTACCCATGTATCTAAATTAAAATTGCATATTCATGTTTTGCATTTTCAATTGGCCTTGTATAATTAAAACTGCATCACATTTGATGAATTTATAATTATGGCTAAATGTTTATGTTAACGTTCACCTCTTCCATGCTGAAAAACAACAAAAAACGAGAACATTTCTTTAACTTGTTTCTGACCAGAAATTCAATCTCCAGATACAAAATTCAATGACCATGTGTCCTGAAAATAAAATATCTTTGAGATCAATAGGCACAGCTTCAAGTGTGAGATCCAAAAATCCTGATGCTTGCAAAGCACAAACCCAAACTGCTTTAAAGAATAATCTATAGAGGAAAGAAATAGAATGAATGGTAGAAGATCTGATTAAGGTCTTATAGAAGATACCTTACTAACTTCAATGAATTAGCAGGAGACAATCATATCTCCTCAGGCTATAATCATTGTACTTTAAATCCCCAACTATTTCCATTAAAAAAAAAAGAAGGAAAAAAAAACTGTGTGCTGCAAGATCAGAGCTTTCACTTCTGAATGTAAAAATGGTGACTAAATCAAACACCCATTATTCATTCTTTACTGAGAAACTCTTTCCTAACTTTTCCCAATGAGGGAATCATAAAAACAAAAGCACAGTAGATTATAAAAGTTTATGTTGGAAATAGAAACACATGACTCTGGGTCTCTGTCTTGGCTGTTGGGAACGTTTCAGGTTCAAGACCTCCTGGACAAACATTTAGTGCTTAGATATTGCTATGAGTTGAATTGTGTTCCCCCACAGTGTTGAGCCCTAGCCCATGGGAATCTCAGAATGTGACCTTATTTGGAAATAGGGTCATTGTAAGCCGATAGGAAACACCAAACTGTTTGTACTATTCTCACACTCCACACAACACAGAACCTGCTGTGACCAAAATGTATGGGGGATTTTCTCTGCACTCCAAGCAATTCTCCAAGCAGATACCAACTGGGTGTCCTACAATTCAATTCAATTCTGATGCTATCTACCTAGAGATGATATCAGGACCTAAGGTGAAGGGCTCAGTCTCGCGTGGCTGCCCCCGACTTCAGATACCAGTCACAAGCCCCAGTTGTGATCTGTGCTTCTGACCAACTGGCTATAAACTAGAGTTCCCAAGACCCGCTCTTTGGGTTTGATTTATTTGCTAGGACACTCAGGGAAATGCTTTACTTACACTTACTCATTTATTATTAAGAATATCACCGGCGATACAAATGAACAGCCAGATGGAAGAGACGCATAGGCAAGGAATGAGGGAAGGGTGTGGAGCTTCCGGCACCTACTGGCACCTCCTCAAATTCAACAACCTGAAAGCACTCCGAATGCTGTCTTTGTAGGTTGTTACACAGGCGTGATTGATTAAGTATTGGCCATTGCTGATCAACTCAAACTTCAAGCCCTCACCACTCCCCAGAGATCAGGTGGGACTGAGAGTTCCAACCCTCTAATCACATAGTTGTTTCCTCTGGCAACCAGCGCCCCCAACCCTGGAGGCTATCCAGGAGCCCCCAGCCATCAGTCATATGCCTAGCATACACAGACACATATCATCACACTTTGGAGATCCCAAAGATTTTAGGTGCTGTGTTTCAGGAAATGGGAACAAGACCAAATATGTACACAGTCCCTCACGATGGGTTGACTTACAATTTTTTGACATTTTGACAGTGTGAAATGACATGATGCAGTGGAAACTGCACTCTGAGTACCCATGCAATCATTCTGTTTTTCACTTTCAGTACAATAGTCAATAAATTACATGAGATATGAGAAAGAAAAGACACACTATAGCGGAAGAATGCAAGCCCCCCTTAAATGATCAGGCCCAGAGAAGCACTGGAATGGAACAGCAGTCACGTCCCACTCCATTCTGACTTGATCTCTTCAAGGTGCTTGCCACGTTGACTCTAGACTGACTGATGCCAAGTAACTACAAATTACCCTGACAATGCCGCACACTGGACACCACAGCTCATAACCTACAGTTCAACCACGTATAGCCAATCACTAATCAATGTTATTTCTGTAAATCAATATGAATTGTATCAGCCCACTCCTTGTCCACCTTTGCCCTTAAAAACCTCCTTGTAGCAAAGGCCGAAAGGTGCACTTCTCAAGGCAACTTAGAAGTATTTCCCGGGCAGTTGTACTCACCTTGGCTCAAGTAAACACTTTAAAATTATATTTTGTGTCTCAATTTCTTCCTTCAGGTCAACATAAATTCAATACCTTATTTTAAAATGGGCTTTGTGTTAGATGTTTCTGCCCAATCACAGGCTAATGTAAGCGTTCTGAGCACGTTAAGGTAGGCTTGGCTAAGCTGTCGTGTTCAATAGATGCAGTGTATTGAATGCATTTTTAATTTATAATATTTTCAACTTACAATGGGTTTGTCAATTGATGTAACCCCATAGTAAGTCAGGGAGCTTCTGTGTATTTCTTGTTATAAATCACAGTATCACAGTCATTAAAAATGTAATTAGTTAGATTAAATGGAAGCCATACTGCAGTACGTGGATACTGAATCCAATGTAACCAGTCTCCTGATAAGAAGAGGGAAATTTGGACACAGAGACAAAGAGGGAGAATACCACGTGAGGATGGATGCGGAGACTGGAATGACGAGCCTACAGGACAAGGAGCGCTAAGGATCACTGGTGTGAAATAAGAATGAAGTCCTATGCCTGGGCAACATAGCAAGACTACATCTCTACAAAAAAAATAAAAATAAAAATAAAAAATAAAAAAGTTGTAAGTAGCCAGGTGTGGTGGTGCATGCCTGTAGTTCCAGCTACTGAGGAGGGTGAGGTGGGAGGATCACTTGAGCCTAGGAGTTCAAGGCTGCAGTGAGCCATGATCAGCCACTGCACTCCAGCCTCTGTGACAGAGAGAAATCCTGTCTCAAAAGAAAAAAGAATGTTCTAACCCCCTACAAGCAACTTAAAAGACCTCTCTTGGCCAAGGGGACCCCAGAGAAACCTTGAAAACTGAGTTCCTGGCCACAATGAGATGGGAGGTCAGATGCGCCTCTTTATACCCTCTCCCCCCAAATTGCCTTTCTCTCCCTTTCAAAAGACTTGCTCCACCACTGATTTTAACCAATCACTAGACGCCATACCCAGACTCTCTGCTTTCCTGTGGTCTCAACACAGCAGGTGACAAGGACCACATCACATTCCTCCACAGACCATGGACCGGTTCTAGCCAGTCTACAGAAGCTGCACATGGATGCCCTGTGTCCTCCATTTCATCTTCTGACATATAAAGCCTGCTTTTAATGCATTTAAATGTTGTCTCCACCCCTAAGTGAACATGGGATGTATGCAACATACATTTTTGCTTATTAAGCATGCATGCCCCCTCTTTGTGAATATTCATAGTTCCTCCTATAACCTGTTGAATACGTCTACTTAGCTAAACCATTCAGCATCAGTTCCTGTCTCATCCTTCCTCCTTCAAAGTGCCTGCTTTCAGTCTCTGCCAGGGGCTATGCCTCTCAGCCTGCAGCATGGCCAGCCTGCAGGTTGCAACCTTTATTAAAAAACAAAGCTCTCTTCTCCAAATTTATGGATCTCATGATTTTAAGTCAACATCAGTAAAATCAGAAGCTAGAATAAGAGGCAAGGGGCCGGGCACAGTGTCTCATGCCTGTAATCCCGGTACTTTGGGAGGCCGAGGTGGGCGGATCATAGGTGAAGAGATTGAGACCATCCTGGCCAACATGGTGAAACCCCATCTCTACTAAAAATACAAAAAAATAACTAAGTGTGGTGGCACACGCCTGTAGTCCCATCTACTCAGGAGGCTGAGGCAGGAGAAACACTTGAACCCGGGAGGCGGAGTCCGCAGTGAGCCAAGATTACAGCACTGCACTCCAGCCTGGTGACAGATCGAGACTCCATCTCAAAAAAAAAAAAAAAAAAAAAAAGAAATAAGGAAGGACCCCTTCCTAGAGCTTTTAGAGGGAGTGTGGCAGCCCCGCCAGTACCTTAATTTCACATGCCTAGCCTTCAAAACTGTAAGAGAACAAATTTCTGTTGTTTTGATGTACCCAATTTGCTGTACTCTGTTATGACAGCTCTCAGAAAATAATACAGATGTCTGCGGAACTTGGAAGATTATCTTCCCAGAATTTCAACTTGTATCCACATACTACAAGCTGTGTGAACCAATGTCTTGATGTTTTATGAAACTGAAGCTTCTTGCTTAGAATTCAAGCTTAGAAGTCTTTTCTTTCCTTTGTTCTCAAAGAAACAGGTGAGAGAAAAATGTTCTTCTTGCAGAATTTATTCTCCAGTGCTAAGATCACTAACAGTACCTGCCTGCAAGGTCTCTAGGTCTGAGCCACGGGAGCCAGGATGTGGTATTGGAGGCAGCAGTGAAACCTGTGTTCACTGCCCCGTCTCCCTTACAACAAGGTCCAGAAGGTGCAGCCCCTCAACAGCAACGTAAGTACGTGACGCTGTACAGACATACATACCTAGGTGTCTGGCTACCTTTTCAGGCTCCCACATCAAGTCTGAGGGAAATTGTCTTGTGAGTTGGCAAAGAGAACAAAGAAAATAAAATCTTTAACATGAGTATCCATTCACAGACATTAATGCAGACTAGACTGTGATCTGGAACACGAATCCAAAAGAACCACACAAGTTGTTTTTGATTACTATGTGCAGATCGATCAACATGCTGATTACTCGACCGGTCATCAGCACCTCTTACCTTCCAATATTTTGTTAATAAATGTTGTACAGCAGGTACAAAGAGAGGCTGAATGCACAGGTCTATATTCTAACACAACCAGGATGCAGATCAACAGAGGCTTTGGGCAGAACATGGTATGAATCACAGTTTAGGTTCTCTAGCACTTTTCATTCTACAGTGCACTTTAACAAACATTTCTACATCTAGTTCTCATGTGGTCCTGTTAATTTTAGAGAGGTAAATAGTCAGAAAAGTTAAGTGACTTCCCCTGGTCACAAAGAAAGTACAACTCAAGCCATTTCTTCTGACTTCATATCTCCTGTTACAAATTCCCTGGAGAGAAATTCTCATTGGCTCAGTGGATCAAGTGTCCACCCCTGGTCCATTGCCTGGAGCATGGTCTAGCCTGGAGCATACTCACTGCCAGCTCACTTGCTGCTATGAACTGGAGATCTGTCCCCCCAAAATTTATATGTTGAAACATAATCCCCAATGCAATCATATTAGGAGGTGGGGCTTTTAGGTGATTACACCATGAGGACAGAGACCTCATAAGCGATATCAGTGTCCTTATAAAAGTGGCCTGAGAGAGCTTGTTTGCCCCTTCTACCATGTGAGGAACCAGGAAGAAGGTGCCATCTAGGAAGCAGACAGCCCTCACCAGGCACTGAATCAGCACGTGCCTTAATCTTGGACTTCCCAGCCTTCAGATCGGTGAGCAATAAATTTCTATTGTTTATAAATTACCCAGTCTCAGGTATTTTGTTATAGATGCACAAACAGACTGAGATACCTGTCCTCCTCGGAATTGTTACCTAGCACTGTTACTGCAACACCACTTCTGGTAACATCCTTTGCGGGAAATTTTTTTCAACATCAAGATCATCAACAAACAGTATTTTTTCCTGCCCCAATGACTACATTTTCTACTGAACTGTTTTCGTCTCAAAGTAATGTTCTAGGCACCACCGTTGTCTTCGTTTGTTCAGCTGCCTTAATAAAAGGCCACAGACTGGGTGGCTCATGAACAACAGAATTTATTTCTCACAGCCCTGGAGGCCGAGAAGTCCAAGATGAAGGCACCAGCAGATTCCCTGTCTGGGGAAGGCCCTCTTCCTTGTTTATACTCAGCTGTCTTCTCCCCAGATCTTCACATGGCAAAAGGGATGAGGGATTTCTCTGTGGTCTTTTTTATAAGGGCACTAATCCTATTCATAAGGAATCCACTCACATAACGTAATCACCTCCCAAAAGCCCCACCTCCTAATACCATCACTTTGAAGGTTAGGATTTTGACATATAAATTTTGGGTGCACATAAACATTCAGTCCATTGCAACTGTATTTCTCAGGGTTCTCCAGAGAAACAGAACCAATAACCAATAGAATGGAGACATATATGGGGGACCAGCACAAATATGAAGCATATATATACATACACATACACACACCCACATATGGAGGGAGAGAGAGAAATTATTATAAAATATTGGCTCATGCAATTATGAAGGCTGAAACGTTCCACGATTTGCCATATACGAGCTAGAGAGCCAGGAAAGCTGGTGGTATAGTTTGAAGTCCTGAGAGCCAGACAGCTGATGGTGTAGATTCTAGCCCGAGTCAGACAGCCTGAAAACCAGGAACACCAGCGCCAGAAGATTGATGTTCCAGCTCAAGCAGTCAGGCCAAGAATGACTTCAACATTCCTCACCTTTTTGTTCTATTTCAGGCCCTCAACAGGAAGGGTGATACCCACCCATATTCCATGACCCTGTCAAATTGACACATAAAATTAACCATCACAGTCACTCTCACAGAACTGTTTCTAGAAGAGGGAAATTGGAGTTCTAGCAGCCTCCAGCCCTACAGTAATGTTAGATGTCACAAAACGGCACCAGAAAAAACACAAAGGTCCACATGCTTATATTTGACCATCCTATAAAACCATCCTAAAACCACGACCATCCTATAAACCAAAAGCCTTCAAACTTCATTGCTCACATACCTCTTTAATTATTTTGAAAAATTATGTACCCCTGTGAACACTTTTAAATTGACATCTAAACATTTGCTTTATAAGCTTAAATAGTTGTAAAGAATGTGATATTTAGCATATTGTAAATGCTGAAATTTAAAAATGAAAGTTACAACATCCTTCTAAATATATGCAATGGAATCTAAATTTCATAATGGTTTGAAAGCCATCTGTTGGAAAACAGTTGCCTTTTCTGTTGCTTCTGCCTCTGATGATGACAGTATCCTGCAGAAGCCAGAGTCCTTCATCCCTGAGGTGAACACACACATCTGGCCCTGGAGTCAAAGAAGCTAAAAGAGGATCTAGAGGGAGATGGGATACAATACCTACAGGCCCAGTTACTACCTCACATCAACAAGGTGAATCAGTAGATGAGGAACAGTGAGGGTCATCTACAAATGGCTGCAACTTCCCTTCAGCCCTGCACATCTTCCACATCAACCAGAAATACACAGTAAAGGGAATTCTGGAACAGTTTAGCCTAGGCAAACAGACACAAAGCCATGGCACCATGGACCTTGCCAGGCATGGGGGACATCAGCCCAAACATGAAGCTCATGCTGTCTTCTGTAACCTGAGTAATGAAGTCTTATGTCTCTGATCCAGGAGTCACACGTCTTCTACCAGCATCCATGAACCTGTTACAGGCTAACCTAGTAGGTTGCAATGAGGGTAAAATCTCAGCCTCTTCACAGTTTTTAGTAATACTATTATCAGTTTAACAGTACATGAACTAGCTCTTTCTTGACCTTAGAAATGTTTACATTTCCTTTCCTGTCTTTTATTTGTATTTTCATTACTCTTCATTCCGACTTGTAGCTTAATATATTTTAATGCTTGGAAGTCTTCTACTGATCCCACTACCACAGTTTATTCAATAAAAGCCTGTTTACAGCAATCAAACTTTTTTATGTTTTATTTTCTATGATCATGTTTCAAGCATTAAAACTTCTTTCCATATTGTGTAATCATTAAAATTATTAGTAAAAAAAAGATCAAAAATGTAAATATATTAAAAATGTGAATAAATATTAAAAGAAATTTAATTATTGGAAATTAGTTATCTCTTAAAGCAAAACTGCTAAAAAGCAAATCCATTCAGAAGCTAGCATATATATTTTATGTTAACAAGAAGTTGAAAATATTAAACATTTTATAACATGAAGTAAGATTAATTATACTTAAATACTATATACATATAATGTGACAAAATAATTTTTAACTACCTAACTGGATAACATATCCTAAATCTGAAAAAAAAATCACATAAAGATTTAGCCAAGGGTTTTATATAATGTATCCTAAAATTTTTTGTAGTTTTAGATGCCTTCCAGTGACATTTAAAAGATTCTGCAATACTAACCTACTGTTAGCTTCTTCAACAAGCAGTCTCTGCTTTCCAGCTAATAAAGCAGACTAAAAATGAGTCCTAAGAATAGCTGAAAAGAATTGCTTATGGTTAAATAAATGAAAAAGGTCATTTTTAGCACTCAATATTTCTTAAAGTGCACTTTGCTTTGCTCTCACAGAATTTTACATTTTTTGGCAAAAGGAGGGGGATGGAAGAGATAAAGCCATTATTAAAAATGTCTTAACTCCCACTATTCCTATATCTGAACCAGATCATCTAACCCAGAGCTGGAACAGCAATTTTCACCCTTAATTGCATAGTGATTAAGACAGAGAAATACAGGGAATCTCTATGTGTTCAATGTGTCTCTACTAACGTTTAAAGGAGGCTGAAGAGATTTTCAGACTTCTAATCTGTGGATAAGATTTGAGATGGGTTAGAGGTCACCTTTTTGTTTACCAGTTGGAAGAAGAACTATTGTGAATTCAGGCAAGCGCTCCAGGAATGAGCTTTAGGAAAGAGGACCTATAGAATTTAGGGACCTAGACACTGATTTCTTTAAAACTCTCCATGTTCTTATACCCCCTACGAAGCATATTCCAGTGGAGACCATTGCCATAAGCCACCTTGAGCTTCCCCCAAGGTGAATGAAGCTCCTTCTCATTTTCATATGGCCTCCATCCTCTTGGGGTGCAGTTTCAACTGTTTCCCAGAGCTACGTATATGTTATAAATGCAAAGAAGAGCCTAGAAGGATGCATGCCAAAGAAAGATCACTGTGGTAGAAAGTAGAATTGGGAGGAGGGGATTCATATTATTGTTTTTGCCACAAAAGTAAATTTATGCATTGTTTGATTTAAAATAAATAAATAGCACAACAGGGTGACTGTAGTCAATAATATAATAATTGTACCTTTTGAAGTAACTAAAAGATTACAATTGAACTGTTTGTAACACAAAGGATAAATCTTTGAGGGGATGGAGATATATATATATATAAAATATATATAATAATTATTCTGTTAATTATATATGTAAAATATACGTATTATTTATGTAAAATAGATGTAAAATTTACATATACGTAAAATAAAGTGAATAAATAATTTTAAAGGAAACATAAAGCAAGAAATTTACAATTGGAAAAAATGTTGGGAATGAGGAATTGGGGTAGGGTCAAATGTGGTGTATAAGGAAATAAGACAATGGCCAGGCACAGTGGCTCACGCCTGCAATCGCAGCACCTTGGGAGGCCAAGGTGGGCGGATCACTTGAGGCCAGGAGTTTGAGACCAGCCTGGCCAACATGGGGAAGCCCTGTCTCTACTAAAAGTACAAAAATTAGCTGGGCGTGGTGGCACCTGTAACCTCAGCTACTCCAGAGGGTGAGGCATGAGAATCACTTAAACTCGGAGGCGTAGGTTGCAGTGAGCCAAGATCGCGCCACTGCACTCCAGCCTGCGTGACGGAGTGAGACTCCATCTGAAAAAAGAAAAGAAAAGAAAAGAAAAAAACAAGAAAAGGAAAGAAAAGAACAATGAAATCATACAGGGGATTTGCAGAGCTCCAGAGTTTAGACTAAACAAGCCACACACCAGAGAATGACCTCCTCAGAGTATTTTTCAACATTTTTCTCAAAATTCTATTTATTATGTACAGTTTCTAATCTCATCATAGTTAAAAATTGAGTGCTTGCATTTTAAGTGCAGCATCTGGGTATGATTTTACGGTAACCCTAACCCTAGGTCCCCCACAAAAAATAAAAAGCCAATATAACCAGGATGACTTAAACAATCAGAAATGGTAGCTATTGAGCAGATTGAGGCAAAGACAGCAGCCCTGCTGATATTTGCATCCTATCCATGCCATAATGAAGAAGAGATACAAATTCTGTTTTCACAAAAGCCTTTGGTTTGGTCTTTATTTAAAATATTGATACTTTGGGAGGCCAAGGCAGGAGGGTTGCTTGAGTCCAGGAGTTTGAGACCAGTCTGGGCAACATAGTGAAACTAGGTCTCTACAAAAAAAAAAAAAAAAAAAAAAAATTCTAAAAAACATTAGCCAGGCATGGTGTCACATGTAGTTTCAACTACTAAGAAGCTGAGGCAGGACGATTGGAGGATTGTGGGAGCCCAGGAGCCTGCTTTATACAAACAATTCAGAAGGGTCATGCACCTTCAAATCACCAGCATGAATGCCAGATGTATAGTATGATGTTAAATTTTTTGATTTTGAAAACCATTTATCATTTGTGATTTCGTTGTTACGTCATTCATTTGTATAAAGCTGCAGTGAGATATGATTACACAACTGCACTCCAGCTTGGGCAACAGAGAGAGCTGGTCTTTGAAAAAAAAAAAACTGTGGAAAGCCAAGTGTGCAATGGTGTTTTCAGTGATATTTGTTAATGTTGATGAATGTCAGTTTACAAAGATTGAGACTCTGAAACACTAGATGAAGTTGAAACTCTGAGCCCTCTAGCACAGCGTCAGAAAGAACTTCATTAAAGGACACCCCCCGAACAAAAGAAATGTCCAGCCCAGAACGCCCCCTTCTTTCGTGAGAACTATCTGCAACACAAGAGGTGAGGGGCAGAAGTATCGGTCCTGCTTTGAAGATACTCAGGGGAGTTGCGAAGAAAATGCAAAGGAGACCGTAACTCTGCACACTGTGATGCCAGTTGCATCACGTCAGCTGCAGAGGACAATAAATTGGGTGCTTTGAATGACGTAACAACTAAATCACAAGTGATAAATGGTTTTTAACAATCAAAAAAATTTAACATCATATTATACATCTGGCATTCATGCTAGTGATTTGAAGGTGCATGACCCTTCTGAATTGTTTGTATAAAGTAGCAACTACAAAACAGAATGCAGTGTAAGACATGCAATGATTGGAGGGATAAGTGTTCCTGTATCTCCTGGACCACAAAATTGTCTCAAAACCATTTGTTCCCAAAAACCTTATCTTATTGCATGATAAGGGAAGTGGAAGAAATAACAATATTTTGAGAGGCTGGGAGTGATGTGGATTTGTGCTATATCTTCAAGTTTAGGAGTGAAACCAAGAAAAAAAAAATGCCCTAATTTTTTCTTCCCTGCCCACATTCTCTCAACCCCTACTGCCCTCAGATTCTGTGCTTGATCATCCCACTCTTATAACCCCTGGATTTTGCACCAACTTGGGGCCCTGGATGCAGTGATTTCCGTCAGAGATGACCAAAGGAGTGCTCATTCATTCATTCAGTATGTAGGGAACGCCTTTTAAACGCTGTCGTTGGTCAGCTCTCCTAGAAGCAAAGTCTCAGAAGAGGACTCACTGGAGTGATTTATCGGGTGACAGGTCACAGGAGGAGCAGGAGAATTGTGGGATAGGACTGAAAAATAAAGAAAGCAAGGATGCAGCCATCTGAAGCTGGTAAACAGTGGCTCTTGTCTGGCCAAGGGTAACTGTGAGCTGTGGACACCAAGGCTCCCAGAAGCTGGGGCAGGTGAACTGGCTCAGTGACTGGATCTGGGTGGGGCCCTGACAGCCCCCACTGCACACCCATGACCTGGGCTCAGATGCACTCAAACAAATGATGGATACATGCAAATAAATAATCCCCCTTAGATTTTTTTGGAAAACAATGTTCTTTCTGCCCTGCTCTTCAAGAGCAGGGAGCATATCTTTTATTTTATTCAATAAACATCTGTCCGCCCACTGTTAGCCGGGGACTCTACTCAGAGCTAGGAAAGGATCATAAGAGAAAGCAGCTATAAAAAGGAATGACTCGTAGAAGGGAGAATGCCTGCTGAGAAGGGTAGAGAGAAGGGGAAAATCAGGAGAGAGTTTTAAAGGATATAGTTACAGCTGTATAGGGAGAATAAGTTCTAGTGTTCTATAGCACGGATGTAGGATGACTGTAGTTAAAATAATATGTTAATTATAGTTCCAAATAGCTAGAAGGGGGACATTGAATGTTTCCAACACAAAGAAATGATAAATGTATTAGATAATGGGTAGCTAATAACCTTGATCTAATTATTACACATTATATGTATCATAACATCACTATGTACCCATAAATATGTACAATTATTATATGTTGGTTTAATTTTTTTAAGGAATAGAGACAGCATTGCTATCCCAAGCAATCTTTACCATCCCCCACCCAGTACCTGGCATAGTGTTCCGTGCCTAACTAACATGTGTGAACTAACCTTGTTCACTTGCTTACTGATTTTTTTTTATCCATTTGTACCATGGTAAACACATTGTGATGAAACATACATCACATAAAAATTTATTATTTTAACCATTTTAGGGGACAGTTCTTGCTTATTCCTTCTAAAAGCAGTGTTCTATCAACGGTTGGACATGTAACGTAGTAAGGGAGTCAGATGACCCTACCTTTGGCCTTTACAGGGAGAAAAAAAATCCCTTAAGCTCTGAGTTCTTACTACAAAACAAGTTGTCTGCAATGCTACTAGCTATGATATTTAGCACAACCATATCAGGCATTCAGCATTTCCATGTTCATAGGGGGAAAAAATTAAATTGCCCCTCCCTGGGCTAAACAACCTTGGCACTGCATTTTGATCCTTAAATGTATGCACATGCTATCATCAACAACAGACAGGGGTTCTGTTTGCTGAAAGAATATAAATAATTAAAATCCTGCAGGGAGCAGATTTTTATTTACAGGGCTCCATTGTCATTCTTGTACCTGGTGGTGGTATGGTCAAATTACACGAGTTTATTAAAAAACAAAAATTGATGGTTCCGGCTCCGTTCCTCTACCCCATGGAATGAGATCAAATAGAGGCTGCACAGAAGCAAACACTGTCAGTATTTAAAGAGCTATCGTTGGAATGGGGAGGGGCGCTAACTAACATTCGGGGGAATGAGCTCTCAGATGCGTGGGCTCCCTATCGCGCCCAGGGCTTCCTGGACATCACCACATCTTGGAGTTCAGATGTTCATGCTATGAAACGTTTCCAAGCCCGCCCTTCGCCCTTGTTGGATGTTCTGTTTCATCATTCCCTTTTTATTTATGATTCCCCACATTTCTTAAGATAAAAGCTTACACTGCAGAAATAGTCTAAAGCATACACCCTACATACAAACTGATCTCCAGATTTCCAGTGAAATTGCTGCCTTTGTATACTTATGGACTGACGTGATAACTGAAAATAACTTCCATTAGCACTATAAAAACTCCAGCTGATACCAAATGAATTTCATTTGATACCAGCAGAGAAAAATATTGGCTACTGAGATATTCTTTGTTCATGGTTATTTACGGTTAGCTAGAATCCATGTACAATTCAGCCAGCCAGAAGGCCCCAGATGATTCCCTTCCCTGGAGGACCTTGTGTGGAAGGTCTTCCATGAAAACTGGCTCACCTTCATTTGGCAAAATACGAGGACCGCTCTTCTCACACCTGGTCCACCATAATACAAGGAAATGTCTGGTGATTAAATTTCTTGGGGTAAGAAAGATGTCAACAGATGTTTGAGAGATGTGCAGTACCTCCCTCTCCACCTCCAACCCATCACCAGGCGATCCTGTAAATGTTGGAAATGGTCGACTAAATTATCAGGAAATTTCCCCAAACCATGGTCCTGGTGATTTCTTTAATGTAAATATTTCAAAGGTGCATGTACCACCGCTAAGAATTATGTATCGATATTTTGTTATGTTTCCTTCAGATCTTTGACTTTTTAAGAAATATCACACGCAGTTGAGGCTTCCCACTTGGCTCTTTCCCTCTCCGGTAAAACCACTGTCTTGCAACTGTGTACACCCTGGCCATTCATGAGTTATACTTTCAATACATATGCATGTATCATAAACAATCTTAGTTATCTTAAAATATATATACCTTTCTACAAATTTCTTTCTCCACTCCACGTTATGGATTTTTAATGTTTTTATTGTAAATATACATAAGATGCCTATTTTAACTATTTTTATGCATCCAATTTAGTAACATCAAGTATATCCACAATGTTCTGTAGCCATCACATCCATTTCTAGAACTTTTTCATCATTCTAAATAGAAACTCTGCACCCATCAAACAATACTCCCCTATTTCTTCCCTCTCCATAGCCCCTGGCAATCGCCATTCCACTTTCTGTCTCTATGAATTTGACTATTCTAGGTACCTCACATAAATGTAATAATCACACAATTTCTGTCCTTCTGTCTCTGGCTTATTTCATTTAGCATATCAACATTGTTTTTAACATCAGCCCAGGTTGGTACATACTGATATAGGTCATTCATCTTAAATATTGTATAACATTCAGGAGATTCCAGATAATAATTTATCCTTAACTCTGTTGGTGGACATCTAAGTTCCAATTTTTTGCTATAACAAAATCCATCTTGCAGCGAGCATCAGAGGCACTCAGCTGAAGTAGAAATGCTGGGTGTGTACCTCCTCTGCTTTACCAGGAAGCTGCCCAATTGCTCTCTTAAGTCACGATAGTAATCAACATTCCTGTCAGCAGCAGAAGTGAGTTCCTGCTTCCCCATGTCCTTATTTGTACTGACAAATTTTCCTTTTTAATGTTTGATAATTTGATGGGTGTGAAATGGTATCTCAATGTTTTCTTACTTGACATTTTTTCAATGAGCAGAGTGAGGCTGAGCATATTTTCATGCTCATTAACCATTAAAGTTTCTGTTCATGTGAAATGCTTGCTCATAAATTTTACTCTCTTTTATATAATTTTTTGCTTTTTTATTGATTTCCAAAGGGGAGAGATACATAGATACATACATGCGTAGATACCTAGATATGCTGCATAATAATCATTTGACCAGCATAGTTCATTAATTTCTGACTTTATCCTTATTGTATTTTCCCTTCTGCTTGGGTTTACTCTGTTTGGTTTTAGTTTGATTTTTTGTCCATTTTCTTGATTTGGATACTTATTTGTTTATTTTATTTTTTGTTTTGTTTTCTAACTCATGCATGTAAGGCTACACATTTCTCTCTAAATAAATGGTTCATCTCATCTCACAAGCATTAACATGTAATACTTGAATTTAATTTAAAAAATTGTACAATGTCTGTTCTACAAACATACAGCCTTTGTTAGTTCCTTTAGAGGAGACCAGACATTTTCTTTCTCTTTGTAGATATGAAAGTGTCTAATTTTGCCTTAACTCTTGAATTACAAGAACAATGTGTGTTTTTCCCCGACCTCTTAAAGACCACTTTTACCCCCTCTTGCTGCTGGGGACAGCAGCTGTCCCCACGGGCATCTTTCTAAGTCATTGTCTTCTTTCTCAGGCAGAGTGGAGGATCTTCTCTTTGTTTTTGATTTTTTACAGTTTAACTTTAATTCATCTGGGATCTTTCAGGACAGTGTGTTCCTTCAATCTGAGAATTTGCATCTTTCCTTGATACGGAATATTCCCCCATTGCATCTCTCCTCCATCCTCTCTGTTCTGTCATCCAGGAATGTCTATTAGGCATATCTTGGAACTGGCTTACTCTGTCCCAAGCCCTATAAATGCTCTCAAATTTTCCGTCTTTTGGTCTCGCTAATTTACTTTGCAGAGTTTTTATTTTTATTCAGTTCTCTTTCAAATCTTGTCACAGTGTCATGTTCCTACTCTGGTTCCTATTCCTTCATTTAAATCTTTGAATGCTTAAAACACACTTACTTTTAAGTTATCTTTTATACTGTCCTGTTTTCTTTTGCTTTGGCCCTACCCTCCCTCCCTTCCTCATACGATTTGTCATGTTGGCTGCAAACTCATATTCAGAGAGCTTTCAAATCCATGGGAATTCCCAGAAGCTAGTTATACAGGAAGCTCAGGTCACCCCCAACCCAATTAAATCAGAATTTCTGGGGTTGAGGTCCAGACACCAGGGCTTTTGGAAGCTCTCCAGTTGATTTTAATGTGCAGCTGAGGCTGAAATCACTTCCTACAGCACAGAGCAGCCTCCACCTGCCTCACAGCCTTATAAGGCTTTTCACCCACCCTCTTCGTGCTGCTCCTAATTCTGTCTTTAATTTTGACACTTACGGATTTCCCTTTCTTGCTTTCAGTTTAGATATACTGGGGGGAGTTCCCATGATAAAATACACCTAACATAAAATTTACTGTTTTAATCATTTTTAAGTATACAATTCTGTAGCGTTAAGTCCATTCAAAATGTTGTACAACCCTCATCATTGCCCATTCCCAGACATTTTCATCATCCAAAACGGAAACTCTGTACCCATTAAACAATACTTCCCCATTCTCCCACCCTTAGGGCCCTGGTAACCTCTAATCTACTTTTTATCTCTGTACATTTGACTATAAGAGGTTCCTCATAGGAGTGGAATCATACAATATTTGTCTTTTCGTGACTAGCTTATTTCATTTAGCATAATGTCTTCAAGGATCATTCATGTTACAGCACTATCAGAATTTCATTTATTTTAAAAACCAAATAATATTCCATGTCAAGGATATACCGTTCATCTGTTGCTAAACACTTGGGTTGTTTCAACCATCTGACTATTATGAATACTACTATAAACATTGTTCTACAAGTATATATACCTATATAGTACTATATGTATATACATTTATGGGGTACATGAGATGTTTTGATAAAGGCAGGGAATGTAAAAAAGCACATCATGAGGGCCTGTCATGGATGGGGTGAGGGGTAGGGGGAGGGATAGCATTAGGAGAAATACCTAATGTTAATGTCGAGTTAACGGGTGCAGCACACCAACATGGCACATGTATACATATATAACAAACCTGCACGTTGTACACATGTACCCTAGAACTTAAAGTATAATAATAATAAAAAAAGCACATCATGGAGAATGGGGTGTCCATCCCCTCAAGCATTTATCCTTTGAATTACAAACAATCCAATTACACTCTTTATTTTAAAATACAATTTAGTTATTATTAAGTTATTATTGATTACAGTCACCCTATTGTGCTATCACGCAGTAGGTCTTATTCATTCTTTCTATTTTTTAACCCATTAATCATCCCCATCTCCTTCTCAACCCCTCACTACCCTTCCCAGTCTCTGGTAACCATTCTTCTACCCTCTATGTCCATGAGTTCAATTGTTTTGATGTTTAGATCCCACAGATAAGTGAGAACATACAATGTTTATCTTTCTGTGCCTAGTTTATTTTGTGATACTTTTTAAAGAAATGTAATGCAGACTTTATTCAGGACCATCATGATAGGTATAAGGATCCCTGAAATGGGATTTTGTGGTGGGAGAAAGATTGAGCTCAACTCTGAATACAAGAAAAAGTAGAAATTTATAGCCCAGGAGAAGAGTGGGGGTCAGTGGACGGAAATTACTAAGAGGAAACATCACGGGGAAGGGAAGATTCTGGCTAAACTCACCCAGCATGATTCTTACTGAAGACAGACCAGGGCGATCACACACAACCTGAGGGATGGTGGTGGATGAAGAACCCTATCAGGTATCAGGGTGCTCAGATATCGAGGATGGAGGATTCTTGCTAAACTGACTTAGCAAAATTCTCGACAAAATTGGACACTGACCGCAGAATACAGGGATTAATGGAGGAAAGGGGCTCAGGGGAGCCTGGGTAGAGTGTAATGAAGAAAACAGTCTTTGTCAGGAGTCAGAAAAGAACACAGCACTTCAGGAAGCTGATGAGGAAACCAACTTGCTGGGAGCAAGAGATGCTGCAGGGTGGGGGCAACGATACAGCCAGCCCGAGGACTGAGAGTTGATACTTCTGTCCACAGACTCCGGGGCATGGCAGAAATTATTTGAGCGGGGCAATAAGCAAACCACTATTTCCTTACCTACAGCAGATAAAAGACTTCCATCCCAAACATATAATGAACTCCTATAGCTCAATCACAAAAAGAAAAACAATCCAATTAATTTTGATGGGCAAAAGACTAACTAGCACGTCACACCAAAAATATACATACACACACACAGCCAATGGTCACATGAAAAAGTGCTCAACATCATTAGGGAATTGCAAATATAAAGGACAATGTATGCCACTAGGCACCCACACCATGGCTAAAATGAATCAACTGACAATACCAAGTGTTGACGACTTTTGCGAAGCAATTGGAATTCTCATACATTGCTGATGGGAATGAAAAATAGAAAAATCACTTTGGAAAAAAAGTTTAGCTATTTCTTTTATAAAAATTAAACATACACTTATTTTGCAACCCAGATATTCTACCCCTGGAAATTTTCTCCCAATAAAGGAAGAGAACATGTCCAGAAAAATCTTGTACATGAATGTTTATTATTAGTCTTGTATATGAATGTTTATTACTTACTAATAATCCCCCAGAACTGGAACAACTCAAATTTCCGTCAATAGGAGATTGGATAGTGGTGATATATCTGCCTAATAGAATGCACAGGATAGAAAGGAACAAATCCCTGTACAATATAGAAGAATATCAAAGATATTATGCTTAGAAAAAGAAATCTAGAGTAGGCAGTTACTGATACTGTTTAACAGTTCAATGATGCTCATAGCTGGTCTCTTTCTTTTTTGTTTCACCACCCTTATCATCCTGACTTTCAGCCTCATGGTCACAAAAACACAGCCCCACACAACATATCCATGTAAAAGGCAGGAGAAAGAGGGCAAGGGAAGTACCAGTTCCATCTGCCTACTCCTTGTCAGACTTGCACTTCAATATTTTTTGCCAGAACTAGGTCACATAGCAATCTCAATGAAAGCCAGAATCAAGGATTTCAATCTTGATTTAGACCAATTTTGATTTCTTGTGTTAGGGCTGGGATATATTGCTGCCCAGAGCAAAATCGGGTTTTTTTTGTTTTGTTTTGTTTTTCAGCAAGACGGGGGGATGGTTATCACATAGACAACTAACAGTGTCAACCACACAACTTAAAGTCTAAACAAGTCATTCTAAATCCCTTGGGCCTGAACACACAGAAACAATGAGCACAAATGGCTTAAGCCATGTTACAGGAACCCACAAGAAGTCAAGGTACTTTCTCTCAAGCAGAGACTAAGAACTTCACTTAATACCAAAGGAAGAAAACAAATGGCATGGCCCAATAAGATGTGTTGAAATAGCTGCCGAGAAATGAGAAGCAAAGATTAAGACGTTGGAAGTCCCAATGCTACTGGCATTAAGAAAAAGTTAGACCCAGGAATTTAGAGAAGGAAAATAAGGATTATTAGCTTTGGTTGCCATAATAAGATACCACAGATTGGGTGGCTTAAACATCAGAAATTTATTTCTCACAGTTCTGGAGGCTGGGAAGTCCAAGATCAAGGTGCCAGCCAATCTGGTTCTTGGTGAGAGTTCTCTTCCTCGCTTGCAGGTGACCACCCTCACCACGTCCTCACATGGCAGAAAGAGCAAGCTCTGGGGTCTCTTCCTCTTCTCATATGGACAATGGGCCATCACATTAGGGCCCCACTCCTGTGATTCAGGTAACCTTCATCACCTTCTCACAGGCCCTGCCTCCAAATATAGTCACAGTGCAGGTGAGGGCTTCAACATATGAATTTGAAAGGGTGGTAAATAGTCCATAACAACGCGAAAGCAACTATTTGGGAGGCTATGTCTCATTTCAAATGAACCCATGACTGTGGACATCAGGACATCTCTCCAAATTAAGCATCTAAGTCTGTTGAGAGAAAAACCACAAAAGCAGCACCTGGGAGGAAATAAACCCTAAATTGTTCCCCACTAGAGTCAGCAGGTTTGGTCTGAGGCATGGCGCCCATGTGTTTCAGACACTCAAGATGCACATCCCAGCATTAACCAGGCTGCTACGCACGACCACAGCCGAGCTCCCAATTCCTGCCTGTAGCAGATGTGTTGTTTACAAACAAAGTACACTGGCTGGCATATAGCAGCTGTGATTAAGTTAATGACTAAGTGCTGTTTTAAGATGACAAATATCTGAAACCTACATATCTTGCATGCTATTATTTTGTTCTGTAAATGTTTAGACAGCTGGTAGAAGTTTGCCCTGACACTGGCATTAAAACGCATGTTCGTGAAGTCGAGTGCACCATGCATTCCTAACAACTAAGATTCTATTTCTTATGTATGAGGGACTCAGATCTGCTGTTCTGTGGCAAAGCCATCCAGGGCTCAACCCCCTGTGCCTCATGAGTGATCATTTATGTTCCGTACAATGAAAAGACGATAACAATGTCCCCCTCATTATTGCTTCATAAGAAAGAACATGGGCATATCTTAGCTGAAAAAGGCTTTAATGATCTTCTAGGCCTCAAACTCCCATTAGCAGTAGAACCCTGCTTCCAAGTGAAATATTCCATAAAGTCCCAGTAATTAAGAGATAAAAGGAGCACGGCTTGGCTAAAGCACAGATGTGGGTGATGTCCACAGCACCCCGGGGAGACCCTAAGTGCCTTTTCAATACCCTAGATCTCAAAAGAGCCTGCTTTAAAAACTCTTTATCTGGTCTGTTTCTGAGATTTCTAGAGCCTCTTTTGACACCTTATACATCTTGGGAAATAGAATCAGGCCCCTCCTGCCAATCTTCAGAACCAGGAGCCTAGTGGGAAAGACTGTGCAAGGGGAGTCGGGACTAAACATTTCCCATTGTAGCTGGAATGAGTTGTGAACTCCATGTGCTAAAATAGTTGAAGGGAAAAACAGAACCTGTCATTCCCAGGGAGGATGGGAACATTAAAAACAAATAAAAATCAAGTAGGTATCCATAGATTACCAGCTAAGATGGGGCAGGTGTGTTCCAGGTTTGAATCCAGTGAGGCACCCTGGCTGAATGGGGCCAATGGTGAGAGGCCTGGGACCCTATTCCCTGGGTACCACCCCCACTCACCAGGGGTAGAAGTCTCAGAAGCACCCTCAGTGAAGGCTAAGGCTCCACAGAACACAGTTTGAAATCCGCCATTCAATGCTAATGCCTGTAGTAATAGTAATGGGTGTCGTGAATTACCAGTAAAAAATAATGCTTCTAAAAGGACCACCTACAGAGATTCAAATCCAGTTTGTTTTTAGCATTCTCCACTCCCTCCTTCTGCCTGTTTGCCCACTCCCCAAACACAAAATACTCCCTCCTGCCAACGAGAAAAGCTACCAGATCGACTCCTTGACACTCACAGGTCTGGGGCTATTGTGGCTCCCCTCTCAAATGTCACTTCTAGAGAGGCAAGAGGAAAGAGAGAAAATCTTAAAAGAAGTAAAGGAAGGGTTTATGGAGAGATTGAAAATATCACAGAGTGTGGAAATTCACAATTCCTCTCAAATCACAATAGGAGAGAGAGTTCCTTACTTACGGGTAAAGTGGAGCTGAAGAAGCTGGTATAAAACAACCTCAAGGAGATCTCTATGCACCTAGAGTTTAATCAAAAGTTCAACAAAGATTTATTGAGCACCTACTAGTTGCAAGCCACTCTGTTCGCACTGAGGAGACAAAAGTTAAGGACGCTGGACCTTCCTTAAAGGGACTCAAAATCCAATGAAAGAAATTACAAAGGAACAAAAATTATTAAAGGAAATAAAAGGTAAAGATAAATTTCTAAAGAGGAACAGTAACTCATTTAGGGAGGGGCCAGGGTGAGATATGTCTTAAAACCTGTATTTATCATTCCAAACTCTCCTTAAGTTTAAGGAGACTAAGGAATAAAGTCTATTGGAGGCCCACACACATGTGCAACTGGGAAGATTTGAAAGCATGAGTGGCATGCTGTAATCCATCTAGATATGTTATCCCAGCAGACTGTGGAAGATGCGTGTGGGATTGTGAGAACACACCTGGGTGCAAAGAGCCTGGTTAGAAAGTGAATTTAATAGTGCAGGCAACAGAGGATGGAAGTGTGAACTAAGGCAGGAGCAGAGCAGTTGGCTTCAAGACACATTTAAGAGATAAGACGGAAATAATGTGGTGACCAAGAGGGTATGAGTAGACGAGAAACTGACAGTATCTATGGGTATCTCCTCCATTTTGCCATCATACCAAATTACTTTTTATTTCTATGTCACTGTCTTCATTTGCACACTGTCACTCACTCAGTCCCTAAGTCAGAGACTTCGAGACATCCTTAATGCTTCTCTTTTCTTCATTCTGACATTCAATCTATCAGCACAACCTGTGAACCTACCTACTGCTGATTATTTCTTAAGTAAGTTTACTCCCTCCAACCCACTTTACAATGTTGACTTTTACTTGAGTCCCATGCTTCTAGAGAACAGTGGTGATTAAGAGATTTCCTACTCTTTTGTGCTCTGGAAAATGACTTATTGCAAAGAATCCTCTTCTATAACTTAGATAAGACCCTCAGATACCCCCCACCCACCTTTGTTTACTATGGCAAAGTCAGGCTCAGACCCTCCAATTCCACTCTTTGCTTCATAAACCATTACATGAACTGTGTGTCCCCACTGATCAATCAAAATAAGATGCCCATTAATCTTATTTGACCAAACTTTAGTTAGGTTTCTTTCTTTTCTTCAGTCCCTAACATTGACCCACCCTCAGCCTGAGGACCCTCCTGAGAACAGGCTGACCCCAGGATAAAGCATTCTCAGATTTAATGTCTGATCCCTCCACCTGCCCCAGTTCATCCCACTTCCCCACACCCAGTTCTTTCCAGCTTTATTCACTCCTCCCTACAAAAGAAAAGCCTTTTTCCTGGGATCCACTTACAAATGTCACGGTCAGAGATTCTCTCTCTTGCAATAGTTCTCCTTACCCCCCACTGCAATCATCCTTTTCAATAAAGTCCCCCCTTACCTAACTTGGATTTGTTTTTATTTGGCACACTGCACCACCCTTGGCCAAATCATCCTTATCTCCCTTCTGAGGTTCTACAACGGGCTCCAAACTACTCTCGCCACTTTCCTTCTGGCCAGCCTTCAATTCATTCTCCATACCTGCACACAAGACTATGAACGTGACTCCTGCCTACCTCTCCAGCTTCATCTCTCACCACTCCTCCCTTTGCTCTGTCCATGCCAGGCTGCTTTCAAGCCCTCAAACACACATTCTCTCTTGCCTTTGGGTCTTTGAATGTGCTGCTTCCCATACCTGACTACTCACAATGGCCAACTGGCTATGACTTATCTTTTAGATATGAGTTTTGAGGTCAACCTCCCAGAACTGACTAGGGTCCCTGGTGATGTATTCCCATAACTCACTTTAATATTTGTTTATACCACACTAGATTGCAAACACTTTAAAGCAGGGACCATGCCTATCTTATTCACTTGTCAATTCTGTCTCAAACACAGAGCTTGTTAAGTATTTGTTAAAAAGATGGAGATGGAAGAATGGGAGGATGCCTAGAGAATAAGAAAAATGTTATTTGGTGGGTTGGGTGCAGTGGCTTATGCCTCTAATCCTCTAATCCCAACACTTTGTAAGGCTAAGGCAGGAGGATCGCTTGAGGCCAGGAATTAAAGACCAGCCAAGGCAACATAGCAAGACCCTGGGTCAACAAAACATTTAAAAATTACCCAGGCATTGTGGCACAAGCCTGTAATCCCAGCTACTTGGGAGGCTGAGGCAGGAGGCTCCCTTGAGCCCACATGTTCAGGGTTACAGTGAGCTGTGATCACACCACTGCACTCCAGCCCAAGCGACAGAGTGAGACCCTGTCCTTGGAAAATAAATAAATAAAGGAAAGAAAGGAAGATATATGTCATTTAGAGAGAAAGAAACTATTTCCCTGAGAGGAAATGGCTATAGAGATAGGAGGAAAACCAGGAAGCTAAGGCATGTAAGAATTTCAGGAAGGAGGAGGTGTTCAGCAGCATCCAGTGACGAGAGGCCAAGTGAGATGAGAATGGGAAGTAAATTTTGAATAAACTAAAAGATAATTAATGAACATGGTGAAAGGTGTTTCTCTGGAGTGGAATGGGATAGAAGCCAGGTGGAATTGGATTGGAAACTGAACGGGTGATGAGGAGGCTTTCAAATAGAGACTGATCTACCAAATAATGCAGATGGCAAGAGCAGCGGAGAGAGATAATGTGTCTGGAAGAAAAAACTTCCCACCTACCTGCTGCCCAACCCCATGTACTACTGTCCTGGTATGGACATCCTCTGGATAGAGAGACAATGATTTGGAGTTAAACAGGTCAAAGTGCTTATTTCAGACCTTTCTACCCATGGGAAAGAAGACTGCACAGCTTTCAGGTGAAGCCTTTGTTGCGTGGCCCCGAGTTCAACAGCAGCCCATCACCAGAGCACGGCAAAGGCCAGAGTTTGTCCAGGATCACTGAGCATGTGCCTTGCATTCTTCTTCCCCATCCCTCAGCCTAGGCTGATGACACTGGCTAAGTAGAAGGCAAGAAGCACCTGAGTATTGTGTCGGTGCTTCTGACCCACGTATGCAGTTGACTTGTAGGAAACCAACAACAGGGACCCTCTTCTAACCAATAACAAGGTCAAAATATGAACCTCTACTTTTATTTTTGGTGAAATGGTTAAGGAGTTAGATTGAACAACTCTCCCACTGAAACCACTAAAATAAAGGTTAAGACTTGCTAAATGTCCTTTTCAATGAGTTGGCAGAAGGGAAACAATCCACAATGACCAAAAATAAAATAAAAGCAGGAACCCTGAAGACAAGAAAACACCAAAGCTAGCTCTTTCTTTGTGAAGGTTTCTGCTGAACCCTGAATATATTGAGTTTACACTCTGATGATGGCAAGATTGGAGAGAAGAAGAGATGAAGCCTAGGACTCACCAAACATCAGGAGGCTAAAAGAAGAATCACCACGTGAGATATGGAAGAACTGTGCCTGATGGTAAAGATGGAGAGAAATAAACTGGTCATTGAGAAGAAGACATCAAGGAAACTTATCTTGACTTTGGCACTAGGTAAAAGAGAGAAGGAATTTCCCTTGAGAATGCATAACCAAAAAATAAGCTCTCGTGGGCCTGTGATCTAATCCACAATAACTGAGAGTACAAAAACAAACTCAAACTTATTTTCAATTCGTCCCAGGTTTTCAGTATCTGCAAGAAATAAATGCGAAATTACTCTGAAAAAAACACAATTTCAATCAAATTTTCAAATTAATTCCACAAACGACACTCCAAGGAAAAAGACCAGCTTGCAGTCAAAACTTAGAAAATACACATGAAAATAACATCATGAGTGAAGCAAAGACAAAAATAGCAGAATCAGATCAACAAAGACTTCAGAATTTTGAATTAACAGATGCAGAATATAAAATAACTATTATGAATGTTTTTAAAAAATTGTTTTTGAGATAAAATTCACATCACAAAATTCACCGTTTTAACCATATTAAAGGGTTGAACACTATTAAACATTTCAATAGTTTTTGGCATGTTTACAGTATTATGGAACCATCAGTGCTGTCTAATTCCAAAATATTTTCATCACCCCAAAAAGAAAACTCATATATCCCAATGCTCCCCTCCCCATTTACTGACAGCCACTAGTCTTTTTGTCTCAGTGGATTTGCCCGTTTGAACATTTTATCTACATTGAATCAATATGTGATTTTTTTCTTACTAGCTTCTTTCACTGAACATAATGTTTTCAAGTTGTAATTTGTATCCATATTTCATTCCTCTTTATGGTTGAATGATGCTCTATTGTAGGGATATATACCTTTTGTTTCTCTCTTCATTGGTTGATGAACATTTGAGTTGTTTCCACTTTTTGGACATTATTAATAATGCTGCTATGAACATTTGTGTACAGATTTTTGTTGGAAGATGTTTTCAGTTGTGGGGGGCATACACTTAGTAGTGGAAATGCTGAGTCATATGGTAATTCTATGTTTAACTTTCTGAAGAACTACCAAACTGTTTTCCATAGAGGCTGCACCATTTAATGTTCCCACCATCAACAAATGAGGGTTCCAATTTCTCTGGACGCTCATCAATACTTGTTTTCTGGGTTTTGGTTTTGTTTATTATTTAGCCATCCTAGTTGGTGTGAGGTGGTGTCTCCTGGATGTTTTGATTTGCATTTCCCAGATGACTAATGATGCTGAGCATCTCCTCATGTGCTTCTTGGCCACCTGCATATCATCTTTGGAGACATGTTTATTGAAATTCTTTGCCCATTTTTAATACATGAATTTTTTTACAAAAATCAATTATATTTGATTGTCTTTTTGTTGTTGAGTTGTAAGAGTTCTCTATATATTCTGGATAGTAGACTCCTATCAGCTAAACTATTTGCAGATATTTTCTCCAAGTCTACAAGTTGTCTTTTCACTTTCTTGATGGCATCATTTGATAAGTGAAAGTTTAAATTTTTGACAAAGTATAACATCTCTTTTTCTTTTGCTGTTTGTGCTTTTGGTGCTATATTTAAGAAACCATTGCCTAATCAAAGGTCGTAAAAATTTACACCTCATTTATTTCTAAGAGTTTTATAGTTTTATCTCTTACATTTCAGTCTTTGATTTATTTTGAGTTAATTTTTGTATATAGAGTGAGACAGAAGTTCAATTTCATTCTTTTACATGTGGTTTTCCAGTTATCCCAGCATCATTTATTAAAGAGACTATTTTTTCACCCACTGAATGTTCTTGGCACTCTTACCAAAAACCAACTGATTATAAATGTATGGGCTTATTTCTAAATTCTTAAACCATTAATCTATATGTCTATCCTTATACTAGTACAACACTATTTTGATTACTGTAGATTTGTAATAAGTCTTGAAATCAGGATATGTAAGTCTTCCAGTTTGTACTTTTTCAAGATTGTTTTGGCTATTCAATGGTCTGTTGTATTTCCAATGAACTGAACATTAGTTTTGTCAAGATTATTTTGGCTATTCAATGGTCTGTTGTATTTCCAATGAACTGAAAATTAGTTTATCCATTTCTGCAAAAAAAAAAAAGATTGGGATTTTGATAGAGATTGCACTGAATATGGAGATCAATTTGGAGAATATTGCCATTTTAACAATATGAAGTCTTCCAATACATGAACACATATAGTCTTTGTTACTTTTGGTCTTCTTTAATTTCTTTCAACCCTATTTTGTAGTTTTCAGTGTACAAATCTTGCACTTACTTGGTTATATTTGTTCCTAAGTATTTTGTTCTTTGGTGCTTTTATAAGTGGAATTATTTTCTTAATTTCATTTTCAGATTGCTTATTGCTAATGTGTAGTGATACAATTGATTTTTGTAAAAAAATGTGTTTTGAAAAAAGAAAAAAGTTTGAAAATATAAGAATCTGTTGACAAAAAGAGTCAAACTGTAAAATATTTTAAGAGATTTATTCTGACCCAAATATGAGTGACACATAGAGATTTTAAATATTTTAAGAGATTTATTCTGACCCAAATATGAGGTACATGAGGAGGTCCTGAGAACATGTACCCAAGGTGGTTGGGGTACAGCTTGGCTTGTTATGTTTTAGGGAGGCATGAGACATCAATCAAATACATTTAAGAAGTACATTGGTTTGGTTCAAAAAGGCGGGACAACTCAAAGGGGAGTGGTGGAGGGGGTGCGGGCTGGGGGTGGCTGTCACTTCCAGGATATAGGTAAATGTAAATATTTTCTGGTTGACAATTGGTGGGAAGACCTGGGATCTATAGAAAGGAAATGTTCAGGTTAAGATAAAAGATTGTAGAGACCAAAGTTCTTTTGAAGTCTTATAGTGGCTGCTCTGAGAGACAATAAATGACAAATTTTCCTATTCAGATCTTTAAAAGGTGCTAGACTTTTAGTTAATCTCTTCAGGATTGGGAGAGCCTGGAAAAAAAAATCTAGCTATGTTAATAGAGATTCTTTACAGATGCAGATTTTCCCCCACAAAGGATGGCTTTGCAGGGCCATTTCAAGATATGGCAGAGAAACATGATTTGGGGTAAAATATTTTTATTTTCTTCCTTGTTATGCCAGAGTCAGAGTCAGATTGGAAAGTAAGTCATAATATACAGGATTTAAAAAAAAAAAAAAATCTGATGAGAACTTATGGTTTGTAGGGCATGACTCCCCAGACCCCTTAGATAGAAATGTGGGCAAGATAAAACAAATCAGAGCCTAGTCCTCAAAACAAAAGACTAAAAATTTAAACCAGAGACTTCCAGTTTCAGCTCTCACATGAAAAGATCTTAGAAGTTGCCACTCCCATCCTTACAGCGAGAAGCTGGGCAAACTGGAAACCAATATTGCTTTTTGGCCTAACAGAACTGAGCTCATTGGCCAAATCAACATCTCCAAATTAGGAGAGATAGGCACATCCAGGGGAAAGTAACAGAGATCTTCTGAGCTGGAGGAGAAGCAACTAGAGCCATGGATTGCTAGGAATACTTAAATGGCAGTCGTGACAAACTTCTGGAGGTTGGGTGTGAACTAGCACAAGGGTGAGAAACTCCTGGATACCCTGCAGCTCTAGGAGGACCTGCAGGCATTTGTGGGCTTTACCTCCAAGAACCCTACAAGGTTCTTCTCATAGTGAGGACCCAACAAAGATCTTTTCAAGGCTCTGTCAAGGGGAGGGGAAGAGTAATCATTGTGAAATATGCCCAGAGCCTTCTCCATAACAAATTGAGACAGCCAGGTAAAAAGGGCTCCCTGGCAGAACTTCCCACAGGCCTGTGCACTGGGAGGAGTGCACACCAGGGTGGAGCCTTGGGAAGTTCAAGTCGTCTTTTGCAGGGGGGAGGAGACTGGCCTCTCCTGGTCTGGGTGGTAATCTGGAATTCAATCTGTGAGGCGAGAAACTGGTTAGCAGGATTCTTGCTTTGCTGAGAGTCCCTGTTTCCCTTTTTTTTTTTTTCCTTTTCACCCAATAAATTCCATTTTTCTCACCCTTCAAAGTCTCTGCGAGCCTAAGCTTTCATGACCGTATGACAAGAACCTGAGTTTTAGCTGAACTAAGGAGAAAGTCCTACAACAAAATGCCTACACTCCAGGTGAAAGGACTTGGCCAGAGCCCAACTCCCATACCTTATCCCAGATGGAGGAGGGAGATACTCCCCATATCAGCCCACAGTAGCCTTCCTGTCTCACCTAATGAAGGTTAAGGCAGAAAGCAGTCAACAAGGGTCAAGGCTTCAGAGAAATTGTTCAGGGTGCTGCAGCCATGAGATGGAGTAGGGGAAGGGGAAAGAGGGCAAAAAGCTACACCTACACCATGGGAGGAATACTTATGAAGGTCGCAGCTCCAAGACAAAGGCCCATCAAAACACTGATGAGTAATTGGAAAATTATGAAACAATCTCCCTCTCCCACCTTCTACCACCACACCAACAAGGCTCCAGTATAATAACAGTGGATTATAACCAAAAGAGCTATAAGACACAGACTGTTTGAGGAGAAGCACATAGGGAAACCCAAAGTCAAGAGGAGAGACACAACAAGGACTTGGAGGTACTTGATGCCTATGGTGCACACAGCTGCAGCAGACATTAAGCACAGCCCACTCACAGCCAGTTCAACGTATTCATCCTCAGATAGCTTATTTACCTCAATTTCTACCCAATACAACACATATGGCTTTCAACAACGTATTGCAAGGCATGCCACAAGGCAGGCAAAACAGTCTCCAGAGAGAACGCAGTTATGAGAAACATACTCAGGTTTTATTCAGATCTTGTAATGGTTAGACAGGGAATTTTTAAAAATGATTATTAATATGTTAAGCATTGAAATTTAAAAAGTAGATCACTTGGAAGAGATGGGGAGGTAAGCAGAGAGATGGAAACTCTAAGGAAGGATGCTACAAATCAAACACCCAGTCACAAAAAGGAAAAATGCCTCCAGTGAGCTCATTGGTAGACTGACAAGGCCAAGGTAAGATTCGGTGAACTTGAAGATAGGTCAATATAAACTTCCTAAACTGAAATGTAAAGACAAAAAAAAAAAGAAAGAAAAAACAGAGCAGAACATTCAAAACTGTGTGACAATATCAAAAGGAAATGATACATAGATATGTACATAGATACATAGATAGATCTGCAATATATACATAATTGGAATGCCAGAAGGACAAGCAAGAGAAAACAAAGCAAAAGAAATATTTGAAGTAAAAATGGCTGAGGACTTTCCAAAATTCATGAGACCCAAAGCATGGATTCAGGAAGCTCCAAGAACACCAAACAGAATAAATACAAAAAAAAAAAAAAATAGCAATGCCTATGCCTAGGCTTATATTCAAACTGCAGAAAGTCAAAACAAATAATACTGAAAGAAGGCAGAAGGAAAAAAAAGTTACCTATAGATAAACAAGGATAAGAATTACATGCAAGCAAGAAAAGGGTAGAATGAAATATTTAAATTGTTTAGAAAAAGAAAACACTAACCTAGAATGCTCTATACCATGAAATTAACCTATAAAAGTGAAGAAAAATGCATTAATAGTGGAAATTTAAAATGGTGTAGCACCTGTGGAAAATGGTTTGGCAGTTTCCCAAAGAGTTAAACATAGAATTACCATATATCCCAGCAGTTCTACTTTTAGGTACATACCCAAAGGAATTGAAAGCAAGGTCTCAAAAAATACTTGTATACAGTGATTACAGTAGCATTATTCACAATAGCCAAAAGGTAGAAATAACCCAAGTGGCCATCAGGAGATGAAAGGATAAACAAAATATAATCTGTCCATACAATAAAATATTATTCAGTCTTAAAAGGGAATAAAATCCTGATGCATATTGCAACATGGATGAACTTTGAAAACACTGAGCTCAATGGAATAAGCCAGACACAAAAGGACACATAACATGAATAACACTACTACACACCTACTATAGTAGTTAATATCCAAAAAACTGACAATGATAATTGCTGCCAAGAATTCAAAGCAGCAGGAACTGTCATTCATTGGTGTTGGGAATACAAAATGATATAACCACTTCAGAAGACAATTTCATCAAGTGCATAGTATTTGACAGTACAAAGAAGGAACCTTAAGTCATGCAAATTTAAAAAATATTATTTCGAAGGTCAAGGTATGTCAGGGTGGGATGGAGACAAAAGAATCTAACTGCGTTACAAATGTTTGAGAAAACCTCACAGAAAAAGGTTGTGGGAAGGGGGAGTGGATGATCTAAATAACTTTGGAAGTGAGTGTAGATTACAAGACTGAAGACCAAAGAAACTGTATATAAGCATGGTACTCTCCTAGATAAAGTTTTTCCACAAGTCACAGGTTAACAATCCTGAAACCATGATATATGTATAATGGAATTAGGTGAGTGGATGCCTAATGGTGGGAAACAGGTTTCTTTCTGTTGGAGTGGGAGGTTACAGATAAGCAAAAGAAGAAGGCTAGAATGATCCACGTAGTAATCCACATGACTCATGTTTAGCTTAATGTACACACAGATGGATACATATAGAAATATTTATAGATACGTGTATACTGTATACATGAGTTGGCATACCCACATATATTTTCTTGCTGTCTCAGCTCAGAGGGCCTAGAAGCGTTAATATCCCAGTAGCAATGAGCACATCTAGTTCCAGGTCTTGGTTTCTAATTCCGTTCTCCAATAAAAAGGAGCCATGGTTCCTTAGAGAAACAACTGATTCTAGGACTGGGGCAGGACAATATACAGGAGGAGCCTGGAGCATCTCATGGTGCCAGAAGGTAAGAAAGGGCTCAAGAAACCAAAATGATGTAGGGGGGGACGGTGCAGAGGCATGTCAAAGGGACATCAGAGCCAGCCTGAAAGAACTATCAACAGCTACAGCTGAACAACGTAAGTAACAAAATAATGTAGTATTGGATTCTAAAACCAAAGTATCAAATAAATCTCCATGAGTCCAGACTTATATAGATGGGGTAAAAGAGACAAATCTTCCATAGAGATTAATTTCAAATAATTTATGTACATATCCTCATTTCTAGGAGGTGCAGTATAACTCCTCACTCTGGCACAATATGGAAAGGAAGAAAAAGAGTTACTTTATAGCAGAGAAACCTGACAAATACTACTTAAGCTAGGTGATCAAGATTAACATCGATAGTGGTAATATATGCTGATAAAATGCACTAATATGCACTTTATCTCTGTGGTCTTCCATCCAAAATCCCAGTTTAATCATAAGAAAAATATCAGACAAATTCCCACTGAAGGATATTTTATAAAATATCTGACCAAAATTCCTGAAACGTCTCAAGGTCTTAAAGCACAAGGAAAGTATAAGAAACTGTCAGTCCAGAGGAGTCTACAAAGATATGACAGCTGAATGTAATATTGCATTCTAGATGAAATCTGTGAACAGAAAAAGGCCATTAAAGGTAAACTAAAGAAATTTGAAGGATGTATGAACTTTAGTTAATAATAATGTATTGATAGTGACTCATTAATTGTTACAAATGTACCATAGTAATATAAGATGTTAAAAACGAGGACACCATGTAGTGTATATGG